>NC_000013.11:82381962-82534803 GCF_000001405.40 Homo sapiens | reverse complement strand
TGTGCTGAGGTTAGCTGTTATATCTTTCAGGTGAAATGACCTTTTTATTATAATAAAATATCTTTCTTTGTCATGGCAATTATTATCCTAAAGTTGATTTTGTCTGATATAAATGATCACTGCTGTTCATTTTGGATAACTTTTGAATGGAAAATTTTTTTCTTGTTTTTTACTTTCAGCCTATGTGTGCCTGTATACCTAAATTAATCTCTTCTATACACTACACAGTTTTATCCTGTTTTTATATCTATTCAAATAGTCTGTGTCTTTTTAGTGGACAGCTAAATCCATTTACACATAATTACTGAGGGAGAATTACTTACTATTTCCACTTTGTCAATTGTTTACTGTATGCACTATAGTTATTTTCGATTTCTTTTTCTCTTTTGCTGAATTTATTTGTGTTTTGTTGATTTTTTTTTACTGATATGCTCTATTTTCTTTCTTAGTGTTTCTTCTATAGTTATTTTCTTTGTGATTATAATGGAGATTATATGAAATATCTTAAAGTTACAATAACCTATTTTAAGGTGATATCAATTTAACTTCCATCATGTATACAAACTCTACTTTTACATCTCCTCCAAATGTAATTATGTTATTGATGCCTCAAATTACATCTTTAAAAATTGTGTATCCAGTAAGTTTTATATTTATATGTATACTTTTATCTTTTAAATCTCACACATTAATTAAATGTGATGTATATACAATCATTACAATATTACAGGAACCAATCTTTGTCTATATGTTTACTTTTACCAGAAACTTTATTTTTTGTATGCTTTTATATTATTGTCTAAAGTCATTTCATTTTTTCTTGAAGCATTTCCTTTAGCAGTTCTTATACTGCAGGTTGAGTGGGGATAAACTCCCTTAGGTTTTGTCAACCCGGGAATGTCTTTACTTCTCCTTTACATTTGAAAAATAATTTCATTGAATGTAGTATTCTTGGTTGACAGTTTTTTTTTTCTTAGGGCACACCATACTATTTCATTTTCTTATTGCTTATAATGTTTCTGCTGATAAATTCACTGTTAATTTCATGGGAACCCACTTGTACATAGTCATTTTCCCCTTGCTTCTTTCAAGATATTCTCTTTTCTTTGACTGTTAACACTTTAATTATAACATGTCTCAGCTCATTGTGGGTTCGTATTAATTAGAAAATTTTTGCTATCTTGAATTTTGATGTCCATTACCCTCTTCATATTTGAGAAGTTTTAGGTCACTATTTCTCCGGGCTTCCTATTCTGCCAATTTGCTAATATTATTCTGAATTATTATCATTTTTATTGGTGAGTTGTAACATTCACTCATTTGTACTCTGTATATTTAATTCTATGAATATTCCCTAAGAAAGGCTCACTATGCTAAAACTTTGTGTGCAAATAGTATGGTTTATGCCAAACACCAGCTTTCTGTATGAGGGTCTAGAAGGTTGGCACATGCAGGGCAGAGGATAATTATGTGACAAACCCCCATAAAACATTGGGCACTGAGTGTCTAACAAACTTCCAGCAATAATATTTCACATGAGTAATCATAATTCATTGCTGGAAAATGTATTATGCTGTATTTTCCATTCAATAGCAGATTGCTGGAAAATGTATTATGCTGTACTTTCCATTCAATAGCAGATATCTGAGTTATACTTGGATTTTGTTTTTCAAATGACTGCCACTGGGTACATTTTTGGTGTAAATTTTGCATGGCTCATATGACCTATGTTTCTTGGTTAAATATCCAAAATTAAAATTGCCAAACTGTTTACTAAAAGTGTTGTATTAATTTGTACATTTAAAATGTTCTGAAGATCCTGATTCATCCACTCTAAGTCAAAGATATTTAACTGTCAGTCTCTTTCATTTTTGACCAGTTGAGTGAACTAAAAATTGTAGTTTTTACTCATTATTTGCTTATATAAAATAGTAATAATTTTCACAGTCATTTTACATGTTTAGATGATTTCTTTCTTCAGTTAAATGCCTGTTCACATTATTTATTCATTCTTTTTAGAAATGGAAATGGATTGAATTTTATATTAATGTATATAAGTCTTTAAGACTATTTATTATTAGTTTATTGTTTCATAAAAGAGGTATGAGAGGGAAAAGGGTTTTGATATCAACGAGTTTAACTAGGCCCACAGGAGATAAGAGGCCTCTGATAGGTTCAATTTTAGGAGAAATTCTTAACTAAGAGCTGTTCTTTGCTCAGCCTTAAGATCTTCATTCAAAAAACAATAATTTTTTTGTTGATACAAAGGGGTGGGGTAATGAGAATTTGTGGTGGGGACAGGCATGCACAACCAATAAATAACAAAAAGATACCATGCAAAGGTGCCTTTTCAATAACAAGACTACTATGTTAGTTTTGATTTTACCAAATTGAGGCAACTATTTCTAAAATGTCTGTTTTCTAAAGTACTACCTTTATTTTTCTGAATTTAATAAAATTATTTTTGCTAACTTATTTGCAAAAGAAAAGCACTAGTTTCTTTCAATGCCTACTAAAAAACTATGATGGTATTAAAGACCCTTGAAAATAAGAAGTAGTTTGGGTAATATAAATAATAATAAGATAGTCTTCAATCTACGTCCTAAGCCAGGCTGTTGAGAATCTGCTATACTTTCTTTTCACAACAATTTTCTACACTTTATATTCAATAGACAATTAAGTCCATGATCAAAAAGAATACAGTATTTGGGTCAAGAACCCCTTAAAAATATCTCCCTTTGCAAGTAAGTTTTGTAAGTTAATTTTACCATAGCACTCTTAGTACCTTAATTCTAATAATTACTCACATCTGAGGGTTATAAGACAAAAGAAAAAAAAAAAAGAATGAAACACATTTGCTTAAAAAGAATGTTGGCTGCTTCTTTGTATTAAATTGCCCCAATAAAGAATAAATGGGCACTTCATAGTCATTTAATTAGGAAAAGAGTATTTTATTTTCGCCCCTTACCTCACAAGTTACAAAATAGTGACTTTAATGGTACTGTTCACTTAATTATGTCAACAATTAAGAGAGTGTCAAACATCAACCCATAACTTGTCTTGTTGAGTTTGATTCATTTTACTAGTCTCTTTCTACTACAATAGGTTCCTTTAACTATTGTGATATAAGCAATGATATAGTGAAATAAAATAATAGAGACGCTGCTGTTTTGACTGGATAGGCTGTCATTTAATTAAAAATAAGATTAAAAATAAATTGTAGTATGTGATTTAAATATATTTAATTAATTTTATTTATATTATATTGTACTGTATTTTGAGGATTCAAAATTATTACACTGAACTTGGACTTTGTTTTTAGACAGTCGCTATTTGAGTTCTGTATCTGGTATTTCTGAACACAGTACCCTAGGGGTATTGTTTTAATCTCTCTAACCACAATGTCATCATTGTTATAAGGGGTATTAATTATATAATAGGAGCTATGGCTTAAAATTGTGTCTCAACTTAATAAGATTAATACACAATAATGAGATAAAACCCATAAAATACATATCAATGACAAGTTAATTACTTAACAAAAGTTCACCATAATTATATATATTTTTTCTGCTTCTCCTGCTGTTATTTAACAGTTCCCTTGCATCTAAAATACAAATATAATCACATCAAATCTCTACTTAAAACTCTGCAATCTGTTTTCATCAGGAGTGTATTGGTGGAGGATGAATTTGTTTATACTTGATTGAGTCTGATCTTTCCGTTAAGAATATTGATAGCTTATAAAAATATTTACCAACATTTTCAACAATTTACTAAGATCTAGAAACTGTATTAAGCATATTATAGACAACAATTATCTCACTCAATATTGACAAAAAGTTATGAAATTATTGATAGCCTTTATTATTATCATTTTAGCTGTGAACAAACTAAGATATCAAATATATCAGTCCCTTTGATGGTTGCCTAACTTCAGCATATTTGTTTTTAACCTCTCACTTTTAAAGGGAAATATTTATAGTAGAAAGATGTTTGCATCCAAACGAACATGCTTGCATGCTATTTCAGCATGCAAGGTGGACTATCTACTTTATACGTGACAATTGATCAAATAAGTAGGAGTCATACATAGAAATTATTTAAGAAATAATTGCCATAATTTAACCAAGAAAAAAAACTAACTCTGTACTTCTGTTTATTCTGATAGCCTGAGCTAACAAAAAGAAAGGATATTTTCTCATTTCACACCCAAAGAAATACCAAATCAAATATAACACATGAATTTATGCTAAAAACAGACAAGAAACATTTCCACACTCCAGACATTAAAACTAGATTGGCAAAATACACTAAATCTGTATGAACCATCAGTGATTAGGAACTGAATGTAGGAGTCAGGGTCTGAGGTTATAATCCTGAAAAGGAATGGGTGGTGACTCTTTCTTCCTTTGAACAACTAGAAGCTGGAACTAAACATAAAACCGTACTCCATTCGTTTGTGAGTGAGCACTAGATTTTTTTAAAATTATGCTATCTAACCACACACACACACACATACACAAACACACACAGAGACATAAAACATCCTTTTTATAGAATACCAAGTGTATGGCTAAACTTCTGCCTTACTCACTGAGACCAAAGGAAAATAATTTCTAAGAATTTTTAACATTTTTATTTTCTGAAAAACTGGGTAGATGCTGATATCATCTACCAAGCTAAAAAAATGCAAAAGATGCTCAGCAAAAAAACATAAACTCAGTGTTGTGGCCCAGGTGGATTTACAGATGCCTGCGCATCGATTGCGTTAGCTAAGGCTGTTGTAAAAATATACTCTATATTGGGTGGCTTAAACAACATAAACACTCTTTTTAAAAAGTTCTGGAGATGGGAAGTTCAAAATCAAGGTGCCAGTCAATTTGGTTCCTTAGGAAGGCTGTCTTGCTGGCATGCAGATACCTGTCTTTTCAGTATATCTTCACATGATCTTTTCATCAGTATGTGTGTGCAGAAAGGGAAAGAGCAAACTCTCTTGTCTCTTCTTATAATGGCATTAATCTCATCATGAGGATCCCACACTTATGGCCTCAACTAACCCTAATTACCTCCCAGAGATTTTTATCTCTAAATACTATCACATTGGAGATTGTGGCAGCAACATATAAATTTTGAGGGAACACAAATATTCAGTCCATAGGATGAATGTGCATTTTCCTAAGAGAAAATATATATTCACTGGCAATGGATTTTTGTCATTCCTCAAGAATTGTGTGCTCCATTTGTTAATATAAAGGCAATTTCTAGACAAACCAGAAACTGCAATATTTTTTCTTGTATTAATACATCCATTTAAAAGGATTTGAATGCCGATTATGTGCCAGTCACTGTCTTAAGCACCAATGAACAAAATACACAAAGATCTGTTATCTGATGTTGTTTTCCTGGTAAAAAGAGATAATAAACAAGAAATATATAAATAAATTAAATGATTGTTAAATATATGATAAATTAAATGATTGTGTGTTCAAGGATAATGGAACAAGTTTTTATAAAGCATAATCTTATTTTCCAGTGGTAGGTGACTAGACAGACAACTATATAGTAATGTGTTATGGTCGGTAGAAATACATAATGAGATACGCATGCGGAACTCAGACTGGCTCACTAGAACAAATAATAAATGCTGCCTGAGACAGATGACACTTTATAGAGGAAATAAAATAAATTAAAGATGGGTTTGTCTTTTTTTAAAAACAGGAGAAAGCCATTTTAGAATAAAAGAAAGAGAAAAAATACTATAAACAAAGTTACTGAGCAACACAGAAGCCTAGCATTTTTTGTGGAACCGAAAATAGCTCAATACATAGATGTTCAAAGACACATGCAGTTAAGAGGGCCGTGATCAAGGGCTCTTACATGCAACATTATGGAATTTGAACTTTTTCCTTAAAATGTGGGGAGTTATTAAATAAATTTCATATAGAAAATTATCCTCTTTTTCGTGATCGTTATGTATTTTTGGAGGAATTAATTGAGGAAAATAATTAAAAGGGAATAGCTACCTATTTATAATGCTATTATAAGAATCTACTAGGAGATGAGAAAAAAACTAAACTAAGGCAATAAAAATGGTAATAGAAAAATATAGAAAGATACAGAAATATTTTGTCATGCAGATTTTAATGTATAGAGTGATTGAACGGTCTAAGTTTAGAATGAAAGCCCAATTTCAGTTTTTTAATAAAATTGAGAATGCATAACCAACACATTTTCTTTTCTGATAAATAATGACTTCAGTAAGTTTATTGAGTAATGAGTTTGAGATACAAGGTGGTATATCTAGATTGAAACGCTCCAGAGAGAACTTTGCTAGAGATATGTATCTGTGAGGTATCTTCAGACAAATGGTATTAGACACTTTGAAATTATATGAGAAAAACTACAGCTATATATCATGAGGCAGGGAGACCAAAAAAAAAAAAAACTCAAAGTAATATTCAGTGTAATATGTAGTGGGAAGTAGAGTTGATCATGCAGGTATTTGAGGATTAAGTGTTATAAAGGCAAAATAAATAATGACTATGGAGTATCATAAACACCAAAAGAATAAAATATTTCAAAAACAGTAGATTGATTATCTTGAGAAAATAATGTGAAAACATATGTACATGAGGCCTGTAAACATTCATAGGATTATGTAATTAGAAAATATTCAGCAGTGATGAAAACAGAGACTTGGTCATTATTAGGCTTTCTTCATTCAATATATTTTCACATTCTATCAAATTATTGGTCTTAAATCTACTTAGATTATTTAATTTCTTTTCTCTAAAATGTTAAATGGTTTCGTATTTCATACAGAATGAAGCACAAATTATTATAACATTAAATCTCTTTTATAACTTCGCTAACACCTTACTTTTTCCCAGTCTTACTTTCATTTACATACCTCCATAATCTACTTCCACCATAACAGGGAAGTTTTCATTCTAATCAACTTTTTAAATAGACTGATGTCTTATCTGTGAGTGTTCTCCCATACCGTTGAGAGCACCTAGTAACCCAGTTCAAATGCTGCCTCTTCAAATTACTTCATTTTATAAAATGTAAAGTGAGTATTCAGAATTCTTGATTTTTATTATATTTCTACTATTTTTTCATTTTTTCTAGTATACTTTAATCACCTATGTGTTTTTCTCTTGCTCTTTAGCACAAATATATTGATAAGAGCAATTAGATGATATTTTTTCATCTATGACTATCATCACCCATGAGTCAAGAATTGCAAAACTAAAATTTGCAACTTACCCAACTATAATGTGGACTCCTTCATTCCTTTTTTAAATATAAGCAATTGATGTTGGTTAAAACATTACTAACCATGATATTAATTTAGTTGAGTTTTGGTATTAGAGAAAATTTTATATTCATCTTCAACTTTTTTTCTTTTATGTTTGTATCATTGTATATGTTACTAATAATGGTGAAATAAAGAACACACAAGTTTAGAGAGCACAAAATTTAAGGCAATATCAATAATTTAGTCTAACTTCACTTAGATGATATTGAAAAAATAATAACCCAGAAGCTTTATTTTCATTTAAATCTAATCAGGAATTTATTTTAGCAAACACCATTTTATTGTAAGAAAACTGTAATACTGCTCCTGCTCAGCCACTGCAATACTCACTTGGACCACAGAAAATCCAAATATTTTTGCCACCTCCTTCAATTTATTTGCAGTTTGCTCCATGGCAAACCTGTATCTATATTTTGTATTACTCTTCAAATAAAATATATTTTCCATAAACACATGAAAATCAGCTTGTTTATGTTCTCAAAAATAATTCCTCATTGGAAGAAAACCCGTCTCCATCCCTTAAAATGCCACAAACTTTAGAAGTGTTTTCCTTGGAAGCAACCACTTCTCACTACAAAAAGAAAGTGCTTTTTTTTTTCTTTTTTTTTTTATCTTGAAGAGATACTTTTACTTCCATGTTCATTGTAGCACTATTCACAATAGCCAAGATATGGAATCAACCTAAGTGTTGGTCCACCAATGAATAAGTGGATAAAGAAAATGTAGTATATGTACACAATGAATATTGTTCAGTTTAAAAAAAAAAAAAGGAAATCTTGTCATTTGAACCAACATAAATGAATCTGGAGAACACTATGTTAAGAAAAAATAGCTAGGTGCAGAAAGATATTAAATACTGCTTGATCTCATATATGTGGTGTGTAAATAGTTGAGTTCATAGAAATGAAGAGTAAAATGGTGGTTACCAGAGGCTGAGGTTGGGAGGATTGAGGAGATGTTGGTCAAAAATACAAACTTTCAGTTACATAAGAGGAATAAGTGCAAGACAACTATAGTACATCATAATGACTACAGTTATAACAATGTATAACAATGTATTGAATATTTGAAAATGGCTAAGAGAATAGATTTTGTGTTCTCATGAAAAATGATAAGTATATTAAGTAATCCACATATTAATTAGCTTGAAGTTGCCATTTTACAATGTATACATATATCAAAACCCCAAGTGCTACTTCACAAGTATATAAAATTTTACTTGTCAATTACAATAAATAGTTTTTTTAAATATTACAAAATATTTTGGGAAGGAAAAACCATAACCATTTGTGGTGGATTGTTTGCAAAGTGATTGTATTTTTGTTTTGCTTTCCTATCTGTACTTTCTACAATATTAACTTGAAGTGCTGTTCATCAGGAGGTGATTTGCCTCCACCTTAAATTGGGTTTGCCTTGAGAGTTGCTTTAAGTATAAAATGCAATGAGACCAAAGCATGTCAGTTCTAAGATTAGACTTTAAGCAATCCACACCACCACCTTTTTTTCAGAATCCTTCCCCCTGCCGTGTGAATCAACTTGAATTAATCTCCTGGAGGATGAGAAACCACAGGGACCAGAATTGAGTCATTCCAATTGTCCCAGGTGAAGTGTCTAACATGTGTGAGAATGCATCCAAGATCAGCAAAAGTCAAGCGCTTGACCCACATCTGATCACAGGTGCTACAGAAGACCAGATGAGACCAGGGCAACCTTTAAGCTGAACCAAGTTAAATTGCTAAATTATACAATTGGAAGTTAAGTATGTTGTTGTTTTAAGCCATTAAAGTTTAAGTGGATTATTTGGCAGCATTAGCTAACTGATACACCTTTCATTCTGCCAAGAAGAAATAATTAAGTCTCAAGAGACCACAAACACTGAGTTTACTGCAAGATCACACACAATAACTTCTGTACCTTTGCCAATCTTAGTCTTACCTAAACACCTCGTGATTATGGTAGCAGTGGAATAGGTGGTTTGAGGAGCATAATGCAGGTTCTATTTTCTTCCTGTTTTACTCTTGAAGAACGTATGCAACTTTAATTTTTGGTGGCTTACTGGCAGGCTTCTTTGGAATGCATAAAACATGTTGTCTCCTTCTGCCATTTTCGAGCCTTTGTTATAATTAGAATAAGAGTAAGTAACCGACTCAATATACTATTACATAGATAGAATTCTTTCTCTAACTATAATATCCATCTTTTGAAAATCAACTCTAAAATTTTGAAATACAAATACATTGTATATACATATGTTTATGTATATTGTGAAAGTCTGTGAAATAATATTCAAGTGGAAACATTTACCATTTAGACAATAAGTACATATTAAAGCATCAGGTTAACACAAACCTCTGTTCTAGGTCCCTTTCCAAACATCTAGCATCTCTTTACTCCTATATTGTCTTTGAGCCATTAGAAGTTTTTCAATCTCTTCTAAAATAATGTGCTTTCTTTAAAAAGTCAATGTTCTCCTTTTGAACTTCATTAAAGAAGTTCAAAGGAGAATCAGAACCAGAATAGCACAATCACAGGAAAATGTGGATTGCATACTTATTTGTTCTTTTCCATGTGCTTTAAATGTGTTAATTTAGGTCATACCGTCCTCACAGTCATTCTACAGCACAGAAAAATTTATTATATTCATTTTACATAAAAGGACAAAGAAGCACATAAAGCTTAAATAACTTTCCTAGGCCACACAATTGGAGTAGATTTTGAATCCAGTTAATTTGATTCTAAAATCCCACTCTTTTCTCACTATGATATACTGCCTATTTTAATCTAGCTTCTTTTATATGTATGTCCCTTTCTGAATATTATACCTACATATTCTATGGATGGCTGGCAGTAAGAAAGCTTTTTCTCTAAAATGTTAATACAGAAAAGAGAGAACCATTTAATATTTGTATTCCTTCATGATATTTTATTTTATTAAATGGTCTCTCAATTTTTTTACTAAGAAATATTTTTTGGCTTGTATAGTATTATTTGACATAAATAATATTGTTTGGCATAATGGCCTTTGTTGGACAGCTCATAAACAAGTCTTTCATAATTAGCTTAGAAAGCAATTTGCTAAACAGATACTTTGTCAATCTTGGCAATGTATAGCTATAGGAGGAAAAGAACATAACTATTTTAATGTTAAGTAAAGCATTATATATGGCTTCAACTAAAATGTTCATTAAAATATTACGTACTTTTTTAAAAACTCCTATATCTCAAGTAAACTGAGCAAAAGTGAAGGTGAATTGCAGGATAGCTGTATTATATGACTCCAAAATATCACTGTTTATTATGATCCATAGCCTTAAGAAGGTATTAAGTTTGAATGCATTTTTTTCAATAAAAAATGAAATAGAAAATGTTATATATTGTGTACATTTCTTTAAAACATTATTATTACATTAACTAAATAATAATGTGTAAACTGAATTAGACTTACTATTTTATATAAACATTTGATAACTGCACCTGTAATACAGCAAGTGATCACCCATATGCATCATTTTGGCACACACAGTCTTAAACTGTTCATTTTGATTAGCTGGTGTGCAAGTAGAATCCTTTTGGCTTTTTGAGTTTCTGACTTCTGCTTGCTTGTTTTCTTTCTTGCTTGTTTTCTTTCTTGCTTGTTTGTTATGGTTTGGATCTTCTCTTTGGAAAAACAAACAAAGAAGATTACCTTGATTTAAGAGTTTTACATAGACACATTTGAAATGGCAAAATAAATAAATAGACGTATTATTTTGAAACTTAATTTTGAAAAAAATGCATTTCATGAATGCATTTACACACATTAAATACAGAAATGTGCAACATAAACTTAGCTTAAAACCCATAATAATATGCTGTTCAATAGCTATACTAAAATTTATTAACTATTATGGCAAATCTAAATTATATTTATGTGTTTTCTTATATAAACTATGCCATTACTTTAATATTTTTACTTATATTAACATTTTATGTGAAAGAGTTAATAAAAAAACACAAAGAAACGTGGTATGTATATCAGTGGAATTATTTAATTTTAGTAGTTCTGGGGCAACTATGGGACAAATGGAGACACTGAGAAAACAAATGGGTAGTGGAGTCTGGAGCCCATAAAATAAATCTTTAAAGTTGATTTTATTAGACCATTTTGTGAATGAGGTTGCAAAGGGCTAAAAAGTTTAAGGCACTCACCCAAGCTAATAGGTAGTGGATGTCAGAGATAATATTTAAATTTCTTACTTGTGTGATTTTAGAACAAATATATTCAACCAAAATCCACATTTTAAAAATCTTGTTATACTAATATTAAGTTTTGTGTAAGATGTAGTATTTCCAAAAGTCAGAAATGAAGTGTCTGGAGAGGTAGAGAGAATTATATTCCAGAGAAAGCAAACAATGTAAACAAAGTGAAGGACACGTGATTGTTGAACTGCACTTAGCTACTTTTGCTTCCTGACATTTAAAAAACAACAGGAGATGAGACTGGAAAAAATAATTTATTAATCATAATGCTGGTAAGAGCTATTGTGCATTGTTTATCCTGCAACAGGTAGGCACAATATAAAAAAAAGTTATCTTATTGGGTTTCACAGCAGCAATTACATGAAGTTATTATAATCCAAAGAAAAAACATTTTTTTAAGTTAGTGATTAAATAAATCTCTATTAGCCAAACTAAACAAAGTTTCTCAATGTCCATCTCTTGGTTGAATATGTCAGAATGAACTTTTGATTATCCTTATATTTTATTTGATTATCTAATCCCTCCTCTTTAAAATACAACAAAGTTCATGTAGCATATAAAAACTTTTGAGGTAAGAAATATCATAAAACGCATTATTTTTATTAAGCTACAACATTGTATCACCTGGAACTTGCTCATGTTTCTAAAATAAACTCTTTTTACTTTTAAAATCATATGTTCACAACTTTTACTCCAACTTTTTAATTTTACAATTGAAATAGTTTCTTAAATATTAAATGCATTAGAGTACTTTGTACACTAATAATATTCCCAAATTATGTCAAAGACACAGTTTCAGAAAGTTAAATTTGATTTAGTAAGTACATAACAAACACTCACCAAATAGTTAAACATTCCTAGTAGTTAAAATTCGCATTTTCAAAGAGTTGAATATATCTCTAACATTTGGAGTTTTCAATATGGGGGAAAGAGGTGAGACATTTACATAACAGCAATCTACATCAGAATGATTTAATATTTAATTAAATATTTTAAGTAAATAATTTTGAGAGACATGGATTTTTTGTTTCATCCCATATGCATTTATTCCTATTTTCCTTCTTTTTTTGAGGATTGTATTCCATCTTCTTGATGGGACCATATGTTCAAGTCCTCTATGTATCTTATTAATTTAATAATCAAGTAACAAAATATGACCGTCTAACTTAGGAAATAGTTATCTAGCATGTCTGAGAACAACATAGCTGATTAAACTGACCATATGGAGGTATCACAAAGTCAAATTAAACTTCTCTAATCATATTTAAAAAATCAGGATCTGCATCATTTAACTTTGATTTATAAAATAGACAGAAGAATCTGTACTTCCTGTGATAGTGTATACCTCAAGTAGGATAAACTGCAAAATAATTACAAAAATAATGCAGAAGTATTCCTCTAACAATAAAACATGCTAATCTTAGGGTTAACTGAGGCTTTTAAAAAATTAAAAGCAAAGTAAGAAAGATGTATTTAAAGACCTAACATGTCAGTTTTAGCATAAAGCTTTATTTAAATACTTCATTTGAAGCATATTGCTTCTACTTCTTTCCATATGCACTTTAGATATATACAGTATGTGAACATTGATTTAATTAAGCAGATTATTTTGAGGTGCTGAGTCATAAACTGAGCTATTTGGGAAGAAAAATGAGCAGTAGACTGGTATGTCACAGCTATTTAAATCAACTTGAGAATGTTTCCCTTTGAAAGTTCTCCCAATTTCTTATCCAAAGATAAAAGGTAGATTGTTAAATTAATGTTTAGGAAGACACATTGCTCATTTTTCCCCTCTAACTAAATAGATCACAATCCCTACCAAGAACTTAATTCCAAAGAAGGCGAACATTGTCTTTTACAACATACAAAATCAAAGGGAAATTACAATTGTAATAATGTTTGTGTGTTACTCTGAAAAACTAAGTTTGAGAGAAAAATAGAAGAATCCACATATTCTCCTGGCTGAAGAAATGCTAAATTTCATTACAGAAGAAAGAGTATAAATAAAAGAAGATACAAGTCAGTTATTTGACCCTTGCTAAGTGATCCTTGCTTCAGTGACACACTAAAACCAGAGCTGGACAATAGTTAAAGCAGTAAAAACGTATTTTATTCTCGACTATAGCAAGAGAGGAAAAGAGACCCAAGAGACCCCAGAACTGGAGTCAGTTCCAAATTCAGCATGCACAAGTGGGAATTTAGAGCCAATGAGCAGGGTGGTGGTTGGTGACTGAAGAATTACTCAAATAAGGAAAATTGGTGAAAATTCTATTTCGCAAATTATTATTATAGGTATAGAAATCAGGAAAAACTCTAATGCGAAAATAGTAAAATGATCCTAAAATAATAACAAAAAATCATTACTTACCAGGTGATATACTGGCTCTGGCTGCTGGCATATTTCACCCTTTCTAGCTATATCTTTAAAACCCAAACTTATCTTTTCAATACTTTACTTTTGAAACTTTTCCAGTTTTGTTTCTGGCTCATTAAAATTCTGAAACATCTCTGACTTAGACTACTGAGAACTTCCACGTCACTAAAATCAATGGACATTTCCATCGTTATTTTACTTTGACAGTGCTTAGAAAGTTCTTATGCACTCTCAGATTTAATAACCATCTTAAGGCAGATAAATTATACATTTTACAGATAGATGTTAATCTCCTGATTACTCCTCCAAATAAATTTTTGAATTTTCATTAACAATAACATTAACTTAATCAAAACCTAACTCATAGCTTCCTACAAATTTGGTCTTTTGGGCTGAATTATACCTTAATAAATAGCTTTATTATCTATTATAGTTTATAAGTTATTCATGAATAATCCATGCTACCTCTCTCTATCTATTCTTAGTTAATTCATCATTAAATTGGTCCATTTTCTCTCCAAAATAACTCTCAAATCACTACTTTCTCTTTCTTTCCCCATGACTTTGCAACTTATCATAGTTCATGTAAAAATTAAAACTCTGAAATAACAAACTAAATATTTTACATAAAGTATTTCTCTACTTTAAAACTCTAGTTATTTGTTCATATTTTTAGTTTATGCAAAAAATGTAGCTGCCTGATTGTGAAAATCTCCAACAGGCTTTCTTTATAAAATAAAATAAGAAGATAAAAATAAAATACCCTACCTCTATCAAGTGAGAGACTCTTTTGGAAAAAGTAAGTTAAGTTCTCTGTGTTTATGGAAAATGCTATAAGTCATAGTTATTTCATCTTGGACAAAATGTTTAGTCTTAAGGATTTTCAGTCTTATTTTCTGCTAATTAAAAATGATTTTACATACATCATAATGAGGACACAAACCTGTATCTGAAAATTTCTAGGAAGACAAGCAGCAGTGAAATGTTAATATGACTTAGATATTCATTTCTTGATATGCCATGGACCTGAAAACTAAAATAGTAAATAATGCCCAAATGGTAAATAATAACTAAGGGAATACTAAGTGCCAATTCTACAAATGATGCTTTGCTTCCTAGAAAACAGCAGCACAGAACATTATAGATTGTCCTAAAAGATACTGGATTATCTTCAATTCCTGATTTTTTTCTTTAAGTTTCATATCTAGTTTATATTTGATAATCAAGTTTGCTAAATTCACCTCTGAAGGGTTTTGTAGAAATGCTCCTTCCTTTGCTTTTCTCTGTCAAAGTAGGTATTTTTGATATTCTTCCATATTGATGTCTTTGTCAGTAATTGTTTTAGTTGTTCTTTATTGCTAAGTAGTATTCATTTTTAAAAAATATATATCAGAGGTTAAATATAGAATCAACATTAAGGAGATGTTCAGAACAAGAGTAAAAGGAAATCTCAGAGTTACAATTGTGCAAAGGATATGTATGACAACTGCTCCTACTTAGAGCAATTTGGATTGTAATTGAAAGTATTTCCTGAAGATGATTCAATTATTGAATAATTGATGCACACAAGAATATTTTGAAATAGTATTAGATAGTTGGCAGTTAAGTTATGCCTGTATTAGTGAAAAGTACATATAAAGTAGGCAAATAAAAAGGGCAATAATACAATAAATTAGGTAAAATAAAAGTTTGCATGGAAAATAAAAGCAATCATTGTTTACTACATAGTTCAATTCTAAAAAACATTTATGTTGTCATAATAATGGAAACTATAATGTACAAATGAATATTTATAGGAAGGTTCATAGGAATTTGAAGAAGACATGAAATATAACTCTTTGGATGATGAGAAAATGGTAGAGGTGAATGTTTTTGGAAAGACAAGAAAGAAAATGAAGACAAAAATATTCTTATCTCTCGTCAAGTGTTACTAGTGTCCAAAACTAAAAAATCAAAATATGTAAATGTGAGCATGTTACGCAGATGTGTGAAAGAAAGTATCAGATAAATCAACAGAAGTTTTGTCGTACTTTTCTTCGGGGGGGGCGGACAGTAAAAAGAAAAGGGACTACATTGTCCTCAAAGCAAATTCTCTAGAACTGCTCAGAATAGTTTGACTTAATATATGCACATGTTTTCTGATTATCAGTCATGATGAGATGGACCCCACTCAGCCATACACTTAAATGAGTTTAACTATGGAGACCAGTGATGCCAAAAACACATTAATAGGGTATGAAGAGATTTATTACTCACATATTGAGGCTTTCTGGGGAGAGCTGGAGAGGCATTTAAGCCAGCCTGTGAGTGGCTAATGATTCTGAATATTATGATTAGCGGGTGAGATCTGAAGCCAGGACCTGCTTGATTTGAAATTCCTGACAGCACCAGAGGAAAAAGCATATAGGCTTTCTTATGGGCTTTCCCAGATGTGGGGCAAAAGAGGAAATGATATCTATATATATGTATGTGTGTATTTATAATAAATATGATTTATTTATAAATATATGTAAATATATGTATACATAAACATACATTTATAGATATATGTACATATACATATATATGTATGTGTATATATCCACACACATATATTTAAAAGTGCAAAACAATGGCATTAAAGCATCAGGTGTAGCTGTTGTTGTAAGCAAACGAGGAGATGTTAAAATAATGGTTGGGATTATTAATGATATTATGTGATAAAGAATATTTTTGTTAAAAAAAAGCATTAAATGTCCCTTCCAGATTTGACAATAAGAAAATTTATTGACATTATGAAGGTTGTTTCAGCAGCGATGGGATGAAGAATTAATGAGAAATAAGAAATATCATTCATAACTTTTTAGTACTTTTTGTTTTGCATATGCTCTGTGTACATAAAGAGGCTCATATCATGAAAAAATTTGAAATACCTAGATATAAAATACTTGAAATTTCTGTAGTGTTACTATTCTGTTATTCAAATACAGTTGACCCTTCAAAAATGTGGGGCTTACAGAAGTCAAATCCCATACATAGTCAAAATTCTGTGTATACTAAGAGCCTACTCTTGACCAGGAACCTTATCAGTAACAAAGTTGATTGACACATATTTTGTATGTTATATAGATTATATACCGTATTCTAAAAATCAAGAAAGCTAGAGAAAAAAATGTTATTAAGAACATCCTAAGGAAGATAAAATATATTTACTATTCATTAAGTGGAAGTGGAGCATCATAAATGTCTTCATCCTTATTGTCTTCATGTTAAGTAGGCTGAGGAAGAGATGTTTTTGGTGTCTCAGCAGTGAGAGAAGCAAGAGAAAATCTATGTATATATGGATCTGTGCAGTTTAAAGCTGTGTTGTTCGAGGGTCAACATTATTGTGCGACTTCTGTGAAACAAAAACTCTTACAAATTATAGGGACATATTACTGATGAACCAGACACATTATGGAACTTCATAGGTTGTGACATGGGGAAGGCATTTATGCGATGTCATTTAAAATATTTAATATCTGGGGAGATAACCATGATATAACTCCATACTATATTTTGCGTTGGAGATATAATGTCATAATCATGCTTACATGTACCCACTCTCACACCCCACAAAACTACAGACAAACTTCAAACTGTGGTAGAGCTGTGGATGATTTTTGTCTAAATTTGTAAACTTTTTTGTACATTTTTTCTAATTTTGTGATAAATATATTTTATAGTAAGAAAAGAAATGATTATGTATGCATATGAGTGCCTATGTATATACACATATACACATTTTCTTACAAATATAAATATGTATATGATTCCAGCATATTATAAAGCATCTCAGGAGTTCAAAGTAATATTCTAACTAGGGTGGAAGTTTGTAGTAATAATATGCAAAGATATGTAATTAGAAATTTGTTTTTCTGTAATGCTCAAGCTGAATCACAATTTATAGATGAACTATAGCATATAAATTTATGCACACAATGTCACTTTCTGATTGTGTTATGAAATATTTTATTTTTATGCATAAAATTGATAAATATGTATGACAAAATTAGCCTCTATACTGTTACTTTTGAAAGCAAGGTTGTAAGGCCTTCATTTTTTCTAGAAGTATTGACTTTTTCTACCCCTACCAACACAACAATGTCTCTATTTCTGCAAATAAGTTACTATGTACAAATTAATATATCTATAAACCTATTTTAAAGAATATTTTCAAGAAATGTATAGCAGTGCATGATTGTTTATGAATTTTAAACTTAGTATTTACGTTATAACAAAATAGATTTAAATTTGTTTGTTTTTTAGAACCAAAATAAATACAAGTCAATTGAAAAGGAAAAACAAAATAGTAATATAAATAGCAAGATATTAGTTAAAAGATCATGTATTTTATTCTAACACTGAAGAGCACTATTTTCAGTTTCTTATCGATTAATTAAATTACATATAAGCAACTACATACGTAAAGAAATGAGGACTTATATTGAGAAAACATGCTTTGATTATTGTAGATCAAAATTTTATCTCCCTGTAATATGAGACAGTAGAAGTAAATCCGTGAAAATTGTTCAAAGGTAATGAAGAAGAGATACATTTTTAGGCTAAGTAGTAAAATATAAAGTTCATTGTTCCCCTCCTTTCATGAATGTGTTGAGTGGACCTATTTGCCCCTAATGAAGGGGTAAACAGTGAGGTCAGAAACTAGAGGAGAGAACGGTTTTGAAACCTCACTGGGGAAAGATAGTGAGCTAAAAATATGTGGCAAAGAGAAAAAATTCTTTACTGTGTTCAGCAACATAAATAGGTTTGTTTTAAAGATAAATGAAAAAGTCTTTGCAATAGGATTACAGTAAGTTTACGTATGGGTCAAGGATAGGAGCAATTAGCATTCAAAGCAAAACAACAACAACAAAAAAACAAAACAAACACAACAACAAAAACAAACAGAAAATCTTTGGAACTTCTTTTTTTTTTTTTTTTTTTTTTTTTTTTTGAGATGGCGTCTCGCTCTGTTGCCCAGGCTGGAGTGCAGTAGCAAGATCTTGGCTCACTGAAAACTCTGCCTCCTGGGGTCAAGCAGTTCTCTGCCTCAGCCTCCCAAGTAGCTGGGATTACAGGTATCTGCTACCACACCCGGCTAATTTTTGTATGTTTAGTAGAGACGGGTTTCACTATCTTGGCCAGGCTGGTCTTGAACTCCTGACCTTGTGATCTACCCATGTCGGCCTCTCAAAGTTCTGAGATTACATGCGTGAGCAACCATACCCTGCCAGAACTTACAACTTTTTTTCAACTTGCACAGCAGTAGGACAGCATATATATACATACATACATATATATCTATATATATAATATATACATAATATACACACACTAATATATGATATGATATGCATGTATCTATCAGGTATGTGTGTAACTCCACACTACTATATACACTCATACACACACACATATATACACACATACATATACAGGTAAGACACACACACGGATTATTTTCTTTCCTCCATTGTGCTGATCTGAATTGAGGAAAAAATAAAAATAGGTGTTTTTCACAACATAAGGAATTGGGAGTTGGGGTTGTGGATTAGGTCTGATAATAACAAAAATTCGGCAAACCACTTAACTTTTTTATTTGTCTTCAAACTTGCAGCATCCACCTCTTAAATTTAGGGAATTGCCCCTTTAAAGTTTAAGAAAATGTGTCTATATTTAAAAGGCAAGAAAAATGGAAAAAAAAATATTTATGGCTTCTTGATTTTAAATTTATGATTTTGATAATAAAAGCTGATGTGGTTAGGCTTTGTGTCCCCACCCTAAAGTCATCTTGAATTGTAATCCCTAGGTGTTTTGGAAGAGACCTGGTGGGAGGTGATTGGAACATGGGGGCAGTTTCCCCCATGCTGTTCTCATAACTGTGAGTGAGTTATCACAAGATCTGATGGTTTTATAGGGGGCTCTTCCCCCTTTGCTTCTTTCACACACCTCTCTCCTGCTGCCCTGTGAAGAAAGATGTGTTAGCTTCCCCTTCCGCCATGATCGTAAGTTTCTTGAGGCCTCCCTAGCCATGTGGAATTGTGAGTCAATTAAACCTCTTTACTTAATAAATTACCCAGTCTCAAGTAGCTCTTTAAATCAGTGTGAAAACAGACTAATGCAAAACCAATTGCACGTTTCATTGATTTCTATCAAATTTCTCTTAATTCCTGTCTAAGATGGGGTTGTCTTATCACTGTAATAGTTTAGCACTATGCTTATCTCCAGGAAGGCCTGAAAATTTGTTGTTGATTCTTCACCAAAATAAAGATATAATATACCTTTATCCTATACATTTTATAGGATACCTATACATTTTGATATAGATAAATATATATTTTGGTATATCTTTATATGATGGATCACTGAAACTAATTTCTCCTAATTGAAACTTTGTACCTTTTTCCTAATATCTTCCTTTTGCACATTTCCTTCTTCTTTCCTAGCCTCTGGTATCTACCATTATCCTCTCTGTTCCTATGAGATTGACTTTTTTAGATTTGTACATAAAGTGATATCATGCAGTATTTGACTTTCTGTGCCTGATTTATTTCACTTAACCTGTCTTCCTGGTTCATTGACATTGTCACAAATGACAAGATTTCCTTCTTTTTTAAGGCTTAATAGTATTCCATTTTGTATATATACCAAAATCCTTTGTCTATTCATCTGTAATGAAGAGAGTTTGATTCCATATCTTGGCTATTGAGAATAGTGCAGAAGTAAACATGGGAGTGCAGATATCTCTTCAACATACCAATTTCAATTATTTTGAATATATCCCCAAAAGTGGGCTCATTTGATGTTAATTCTATTTGAAATTTTTTGGGAAACCTCCATAAGTTTTTCCATAATGTCTGGACTAATTTACATTCCCACCAAGAGTGTGCAGGATCTCCTTTCCTCTACATCCCTGCCAACAATATCTTTTGTGTTTTTGATAAGTCATCCTAGTAGATGTGAGGTGATATCTCCTTATGGTTTTAATATGCATTCCCTGATAATTAGTGATTTTGATAATTTTTTTATGTCTACAGGCCATTTGTAGTTTTCTTTTTAAAAGAGTATCTGTTCAGATCCTTTGCTTATTTTTTAAATCAGATTGTTTCCTTGTTATTAAATTCCTTGAGTTTCCTATATATTTTATGTACTAACCTCTTTTCAGATGTATGACTTAAAAATCTTTTCTTTCAATCTATAGGTTGTCTCTTTATTCTGTTGATTGTTTCTTCTGTTGTGCATAACTTTTTTGTTTGATGAAATCCCGTTTGTCTATTTTGGTTTTTGTTTTTCTGTGTTTTGGGGGTCTTGTCCAAGAAATTATTATTTAGACTTGTGTCATGGAGCTTTTCCTTTATATTTTTTCCTAGTAGTTTTACTGTTTCAGGTATTATGTTGAAGTCTTCAATTCATCTTGAGTTAAATTTTTATATATGATATGAGATAAGGATCCAATTTTATTCTTCTGCATGTGGCTATCTAGTCATCATATTTATTGAAGAGACTGGCCTTTCTCCATTGTGTGTTCTTTGTACTTTTGTGGAAAATAAATTAACCACAAGTGTATGGATTTATTTCTGGGCTTTCTATCCTGCTACATCAGTCGATGTATCTGTTTATATGCCATTACCATGCTATTTGGCTTAATATAGCTTTGTAGTATATTTTGAAATCAGTTAGTGTGATGCCTTGAGTTTTCTTCTTTTTGCTCAAGATAGCTTTGGTTATATGGGGTCTTTGTGGCTCCATAGGAATTTTAGGATTATATTTTTCAATTTCAGTGAAAAATGTCTTTGGAATGATAGAGATTTGCATTGAATTGACAGATTCAACATCCTTTCATGATAAAAATACAATAAAATAGGTACAGAACGAACACACTTCATTCAATAAAGACCATTTGTTAAAAACCAATAGCTAATATTATACTCAATGGTGAAAAATTGAGAGCTCTTCTTTTAAGACCAAAAACAGGACAATGATGCCCACTCTTAACGCTGCTATTCAATTTAGTATTGAACATCCTAGCCATAGCAGTTTCACAAGAAAAATAATAAAGTCATCAAAACAGGAAAATAAGAAGTCTAATAGTCTCCTTTTGTTAAGGACGTGATCTTTTCAGTAGAAAACCCTACAAAGTCCATCAAAAACTTTTAGAACTGATACATTTGGTAAAATTGTGGGATACAAAATTAACATACAAAAATCAGTAAACTTTCCCTACTCTAACATCAATAATCCAAAAAAGATATTATAAAAGTAATCTCATTTATAATAGGGAAAAAAATACTTGAGAGTAAATTTGACCAAGGAGATGAAAAATGTGTATACTGAAACTACAAAACATCAATGAAAAAAATGAAAGATGACACAAATAAGAGGAAAGATATCTTGTGTTCATTTTAAGACTTTTGTCATCCACAGAAGACTTCCAGAATTGTTTTGCTCTGATGTTTTCTGAAAAGCTCTTGCAATAAGCTAAAGACCAGATTACTTACATTGAACACAGAGAAACTTTCTAAGAAACCCATAGTATTTCAGGTACCCTTGGGTATAGCCTTTTAATGAAATTGCTTTAAAAACTTGACATCATATGGGTGGACTCATTCAGGATTTCTAAACCTCTAATAAAAAACTTAATGGGTTTTTAGAACTCCTAACCCAAGTTCGAGAACATATTTAACAACATGTAATAGAGTACACTGGTAAAGGATGATTATATACTTTTTATTTTATTTTGAAATACTTTTTGTGTTTGTTTACAGTATTGCCAAGTCATAATATTTATTTTCTGGACATAAGAAATCCCCTTTTCCTTTCTCTTACGCTTTCTCTGACTGATAAAAATCTAGTAAATTATATTTTATAAACAAATTTCAAACATTCATCTTTTTCTCCCTGCCTGATCCCTTCAGAAATCTGAAAATATTGAGTATTCTTATTTTCATGGAAATATAATTATTTGCCTATGTCCAATAAGAATCTTTCTTCTTTATCTGGGGCATAATTTAAAACATTGGTTACACTACCAAGACTTTTACTTGAATGTTACATTTGAAACTGATTTATAAAAACGGATATGATCAGACCATTTTAAGGACCTAAAGTTGACTTTACAGAGCCAATGCTTACAAAGCCCTTTTGAGAAAACTAGCCTGATATTTCCCAACCTTACAGGTAAGAAAGGTCACTACCTCACAGGCCAATGAAACAGGATCATTTGTAAACTTGGAAAAGAGTGGAATTTATCGAAATCTATATGTAATGTAGGCAAAGCCTGAACACAAATTTTTGGCTTAGCTTCTCACTCTCTAGAGGCTTTTAAAGGTCCAATCTGAGATTCCTTGTAAAAAGTTCCACTAAACAAACTTGAAAAACACCTGTGCGGTCAATTACTCTCATGCTGCACTTACATAAATAGCCAGGCCAAATTTAATGGGACCAAGTTCTGTGTACTGAAGCCAGATAACTTAATATAAATGTCAAAATACTGTGCAACAAATTATGCATAGGTTACCTTGGTGCTTGGAGCTGCTACTACATGAGCCACTCAAACAATCCCCCAGAAACCCTCCACCTTTCATACTCTGCTCTGCAACACAGCCATCACTGTGACACAGTAGTGTACACCAACACCACAACATTCAGACTCCAAACAGGGAAATTCATCAGATTGCCTCTGATGTCCTCATGTCACCATCTAAAGGAACTTAGAGCTCAATGCCCAGAAATCTTCTCAGCCAACTGCCCTTTGGACTCAAAAACTAAATTTATATTTTGCTTCAACCATTAATCCTCATTTTCCTTTTTGTTTCCATAGAGACTCCTCTTACAAAATGCATGATGATTTGTATCGTTCATTAAATGTCTTCTACTATCAAGTCTCAGCCGATGGTTCAGCTGGTCCTTAATAAACAAAAGGTACGAGAAATGGACTTATCTTGTTTGGAGAAAATAATGTCTCCTTTTTTTCCTTGAATAAGATGGAATACTGACAAACATTCTCTTTTTGACAGCATACTAGTCAAGCCCCTCTGAGTGCTTTCTACAACTAAATATCAACCTTGGCCTGTAAAAAATTAAACAACACTAACATAATTTCTAAAAGCACAAATCCACATCCCTGTGATGACTCTAGGTCAACTTAAAGCTCCTGCCTACAGGCTGCCAAAAGAATTTACCGTTTATTTCAGCCAATAATGGAAGATAGGGCCTCTTCCTCCCAGTCACTGTAGGAGGGTAGGAGCCTACCTTTAAAAAGTGTCAGTTAGCCTCCGGGCACGGTGGCTCATGCCTGGAATCCCAGCACTTTGGGAGGCCCCGGCGGGCGGATCACGAGGTCAGGAGATCCAGACCATGGTGAAACCCAGTCTCTACTAAAAATACAAAAAATTAGCCGGGCGCGGTGGCGGGCGCCTGTAGTCCCAGCTACTCGGGAGGCTGAGGCAGGAGAATGGCGTGAACCCGGGAGGCAGAGCTTGCAGTGAGCCGAGATCGCGCCACTGCACTCCAGCCTGGGCGACAGCGAGACTCCGTCTCAAAAAAAAAAAAAAAAAAAGTGTCAGTTAGCAACCTAATATGGGTACACATGAAACAATTTCTTTTTTGCATGCATTTTTTGTATATATATATATATTTTTAATTTTTTTATTATACTTTAAGTTTTAGGGTACATGTGCACATTGTGCAGGTTAGTTACATATGTATACATGTGTCATGCTGGTGCACTGCACCCACTAACTCGTCATCTAGCATTAGGTATATCTCCCAATGCTATCCCTCCCCCCTCCCCCCACCCCACAACAGTCCCCAGAGTGTGATATTCCCCTTCCTGTGTCCATGTGATCTCATTGTTCAATTCCCACCTATGAGTGAGAATATGCGGTGTTTGGTTTTTTGTATATATATTTTTTTACTTTCCTGACTTTATTAAGTCCCCACTCATCCCTCCTTCCTACTGCCTCATTCTCCCTTTAAAACACCCACTCATCTCTCTACAAATCAAAGTTGAGTTTAGTTCACACTGAAGTATTTTCTCTATTGCAGTAGGGACTAAAATCTGTCCTTACCTCCAAAAAACATTCAACTTGAAGTTCAGAACTTCTTTACAGACAGCCCGAGCTAGCTTGTCTATGTTGCTTAGGAATGTGTTGTTTTCTGCTTTATACCTGGTTTAACTGGTTACACAAATTGGCTTTGTTATATGAACAAAGAGGTGAAAGGCACCATTGTAAATTTTTGCCTGGGCCCTCCTGAAATGAAGATTTCCTCCATACATATTTGAACCATATATTTTTAATTCATAAAGATGAATCACATTTTTTCTAACTGAGAAAAAAGCCTGGAATATAATTCTCATATCTTCATTGATTGCCTGAGATCTTATTCTATGCCGATATACAAAAATCTTTGTCAGTACCTATTGGAAATTTTTGAATCTTTTCAAACCTCTCTCATCCTGTATCATTGGTACAGCTCCCATAGCTTCCTTTTTCCACATAGTGCTCTCCACCCTGAACATTGAGAACACATGTCACAAAGTCTGACCCACAATTCTGGTTGTCGAGCTTGCTCAATTTTCTGAATGGAATTTTTAATGATATACTACAGTACACCTGATTTCTACCTCTAGAACAAAAATTCAAGTTGAGGAATCTAATGCAAGTAGACTATTCTAATTTTTTTATTTTTTTATTTTTTTTTGAGACAGAGTCTTGCTCTGTCGCCCAGGCTGGAGTGTAGTGGCGCAATCTTGGCTCACTGCAAGCCCCGCTTCCCGGGTTCACGCCATTCTCCTGCCTCAGCCTCCTCAGTAGCTGGGATGACAGGTGCCCGCCACCACACCTGGCTAATTTTTTGTGGTTTTTTTTTTTAGTAGAGACAGGGTTTCACCATGTTAGCCAGGATGGTCTCAATCTCCTGACCTAGTGATCCGCCCACCTCGGCCTCCCAAAGTGCTGGGATTACAGGCGTGAGCCACCGCGCCCGGCCGCAAGTAGACTATTCTAAAGATATCTTTGAAATCATGCCAGGTGGTGGCTAATAAAGTAATAAAGGCTGTGTTTAGTTTCACAATAAATTTAATAGTTAAACTATTACTGGCAAAATATTGGTCCTGAGGTGCCAATATTTTGAAGTAGGCTGGCAATTCTTACACTTTTATTAAAAAGTTCATTTTGCGTTAATGCTATTTTACATCTTTAACTTCTTAATTATACTGGTGCTGAGGTAAATAAACATAGTTATCTTTTGAAAAAAATTTATTAATTGTATTTATGTAAATGTCCCTAAAATATGTTGTTAGCTATTTTGTTTTTCATATTTTTTAATTTAAAATATTGCACTATGATAGTAAACATTGTAAACTTAATTGGTATTCCATGTACCTTCCCTAAAATACATGTTTTCTGAATATTATTTTAGAAAACAGTTCTTATTCTTCAAGCCAAAATTTTTTTCATTCAAAATGGATTTTAGTTAATTATATCATGACCACTTAACCTCTGTGATAGTACCTTTGTTTAATGCAATTTTGGGCCACTATTCTAGTCATAGGCTGGAGCCAGTTTATATATGAATTACTGTTTTGAACACATGAAAGTATAGTGGGTCAGAACGTAATTTTTATCACATCAATCATATATCTGCCTCTAATGTTCAATTTTTTTTTTAGTTTTAGTTAATGAAGGTTAAATTGCAAAAAAGGCAACTTGTCTTTAAATATCTTTCTTCTAGATCCAGTAAATTTTACTATTTCAATCATGAAAATAACTGGCAACTGTAAACTTATCTCAAATTATTTATGAAATGAAGATAAATTGAATTTTACTTTTTGTTTTAAAATTTCATTAGACTACTGAAAAAAAGCTATATCACATTTAATTCAGCTTATGTTAACATAAGCACTTATAAAGCATATCTACATAGGAGAAAAAAATATTCTGCAAGATGAATTATTACACCAAATATCTTTCCCTCTCCTCAAAGGTGTTATGGGGTCTATGGGAAGATTTCAATGTATTTTGGTTTTCTATGCTTATAGATATATTTTTTGCCTTATTATTATTATTACTATTGTGTTTGCTTATGGAAAAATGATCTAAGATTACTTAGACAGTCATTGTTTTACTGTTAATGGTGAACAAAAAAAGTTAAGCTAATTACAGCTAGAAACTCACAATCAATGGCAGAGGAGACTAAGGCAGCATCAATCTGGCTTCAGAAAATGCAAATCTGGAAAAGCACCTGCACAAAAAGGTAGAAGTAATGCATGGGAAAATAATATCTATTTGCAGTCATTGGTATGATTTTTTTTTTAGTATTTTTTCTACATTCTACCTAGATCCATATGGATTTTCCTGTTTTGCTCTGTATTGTACTTGCTAACGAAGTTGTTTCTATTTATTTGTCTAGAAGTTTTGCTCTATAAATACACTGTGGAACAAAATATTTCAAAAAGCTTGTAACACTCTGGTAAAAATAAAACAAAACAAAAAATAAAGAAAAACCTCACTGTAGAGCTGTAGAGGGACTGCCTCCTGATACTAGAAGAATAAAAGCTCAGCTATGCTTCATGACAATGATCATTTTCCTTGAAGCAGATGTTTTTTGCAGATAACAAATTTGGAACCATTTTGCTCATCCACTTTGTGGAATCCCTGATGGCAGCTTCCTAAACACAACCAAAATAGAATAATTTAAAGGAAGTTTTAGTGGTGAAAAGTGAGATAACTCTTCAAAACTACAATAAAACTAAATCTACACTTACATTACTCAATATGATTAATGGTCCTTACAATGTCCTTGCAAACAGCCTCTGCTATGTTCTCTGTTTACTAATGTTACACAATTAGCTCTTTGCACCCACCCTTGCTCTGCCCTTAATAGAAAATTCACATTTTTCAGTTGGAACACTTTGTGCATAGTGCAGAAGTTTCACTGAATAATATCTTTGATGAAGCAGTATATTAATTTTATTAAATCTTTACACTCGAGTACACATTTTTTCATACTCAGTGTTATGAAATGGATACTTTGCAAAAAAACACTTGTGCTGTATAATGGTTATCTTAGGGTAAACTCACTTTTATCATAGAGGTAATTTTTCCTTGAAATAACCACTGATAATTAAGCAATGATTATCTAGATTTGGGTATTAACATACTTTTTCTTAAACGTGAATAAAATTAATCTCTCATTTCAGTGAAAACCACCATGTTTTTACCAATGATAAAAGTTTTGTTTTCAAACAAAAATTCAAATTTTTTGAAAACTGCTATCTGCTACTGTGAGCTCGAACATTTCCCAATACTTGCTTCAAGTTATGAGATTATTGATATTAACAAATGTTAATGTGCTAAGGGTTGAAATATATCAAAATGTAAAAGAACTACATTATTCGGTAAGCCAGTATTTTCAAAATGACCAAAGTATGAGGTTACAAAATCATGCATGAATAAAAGATCCAGTTGAAGTACAAGACTGACTAACGGTTTTTAATCTAATGGACTTTGAAAAGTTCATTTATACATTTCAAGATGTCATGTGGTAATTCTTTAGAAATTTTTCTATCACTTGTCAAATACTGATATTGTTGAATTTCAGATAATCCATAATTATCTGAACTGTGCTTAAAATCTCCTTTTTGTACATATTTACTACATTTCTATCTGTTCAAGGGCAATTATCTTTGTATATTTACATATAAAGCAAAACAACAGAATTTGTTTAGTCTGCTGAAACAGATTTGAGAATCTGTCTTAATACAGAGACTAGAAATGTGGATAACTGTAAAAACAATGCCACTTTATCATTGATGTTTTTCAATATTTTTTAAAAATACTATATTTATATTATCATGTAGTGTGCTTATCATGGTTATTCTTAAATGCCTAAGTTAAAAAAATGAAGTTTCTCTGTTTCAATTTACATTATGGTAAATATTAGTAATATAAAAACATTTTTAAAACAGACTTTGAGATTTTCCACTTTAAAAAGCGTAATACGAGACCAAAAAGTTTGAGAACCACTATCATAGTGTTTCCTTGTAAAGTAATCCTGGATGCCTCCTCATTATATGTGACTACTTTAAAAACAAAAACAAAAACAAAAACAAAAACCACTCAGGCTTGTTTTGATTTATTTAATGCACTGTAAACCTAATTTCTATTTAGGCATTTTTCTTTTAAAAATATATAGAAGTGATATTTACTATTATTGTTGTTGCTGCTGTTGTTGTGAAGATTAACTTTATATAATTGTTCATGCTAGATAAGGCAGTGGTTTGTTGTTTGGGAAGATAGATCTACTGTCTTTTTCCAAAATCTGCTTATGAAACATCTGGCTTCATGAATATAGAGAACAATTTTAACACTTTGGATGAAGAGATCAGTTAAGGTTCCTATTTTTTTTTTAACCATTGGGAGAGAATCCCCAGAGAACAAAATAAAACTCTTTTCATATCTTAACCAAGGAGGACTTGAAGTATTTGTTTCTTCCTTACAAAGAGCAATTTGCACAAATGTTGATCTTTTCTCCCAAGTGGGAATTAGGGACAATATTCTCATACTTGTCCCTTCCTACTTTCACTTCAATTTAGTAAATCCTTTGAGGCTTTGTAATAGCAGACTTCCAAGAGATGGTATTGTTTGGGGATTTTCTACATTGTATTAGCAATGGATTTTTTATTTCAGCATACTGAAAATACTTTAAATAGTTGTATGAGCAAACCTAGAATTAAAACTAATAGTAGTTACCCTGACTCCAGAAGTAACCAGCACAAAAAAAGTGTTATTCCTGCCAGTAAAGCTTCATTTTTGAATAAAAGTAAAGATCTTTTCCTACTAATCTTTAGGACCAATATAAGTCTTTAATATTTCTTACTTATATAATTTTGAAGATTCTCTCCTTTTAGGGGTGGGAAGTGGAGGAGCACTGGCCCTTTAGTCTCAAAGTTCATCTGATAGTGAAGGGACTTTGTCAGTGTCTTACTGTTTTCCATTTGTTTCTCTAATAAATGTAAAGTCTGGTAGTGAGAGTAGATTTTTAGTTATCATAGTTTGTTCTCTGTTTTCAGTCTACTTGGAAGTTCCCAACTCTTCAGAAAGCTTCTGAAGAAGCTTTTCCATCTTTCCATCTCTTTCTTTTAGTAGCTAACAATTTAGAATAATCAAACTCTATAGAAACAAAATTCTGAAGATCAAAAAAATGACATATTTAGGAACAGTTCTGAAATGCTGATTAACTAGATAAATATCCTTTTGTAAAGTTGTCCTGTTATTACTATAAAGCCTTGGCCATGTGGTATAAGTATCTTCATTAGCCTTTAACAAACTGTATGACCAGGTACCATGTATTTGCTTATAATGTTTCATATGTAAAATACCTTAAGAACATTATATGTATTTTATTTTCTTACAAGTATGTCTATTATTGTGTTTGAATTTGTGTGTGTGTGTGTCTATTCTAACAATTAGCTACATTTGCAGTTCTAATTTTATTTCTTCTATTTTTTCTGTGTAGAAGAAAAGCCAATAGCTGAAACTTTAAAATATTTCTTTTAAAAAAAGATAAGAATACTATAACATTTGCAACACTCAAGCCACAAATGTTAAACTATTTTTTTTATGCTTAAGGAGTCATTTTGAAGAATTTGAATGTATTTTTACAATGGCTCTCCATAATTTCTATCTTTACTAATTGTGTGGTAAAGAAGTGTATATAGTATACCAGTAGGGCAAATAAAGGGAAAGCACCAACTTACATGAAAGAAGATAAATTCTTCCCAGCTTTACTGATGCAAAAGGCCTTCATTATGACATAGTCAAGTATGCACTTGATACATGTAGAGTTGTTGTTAAGCATATATATGATTTGCTTTCTCTCCAGACTACATAACAGAGAGTCATGAAAAAGCCATCTTTAAACCATTGTAGTTTCTCTATTTGATATAGATATTGAACACATAACTAATTTTTCTGAGCCATAATAATTACAAATTCATAATAGTTATGAGCATTTTAAAAATATAATGCATATAAAAGTTAACTTTGTGTGTCATACATAAGTAAGAACTAAATACAATAGTACAGATAGAGAAGAAAGGGTAGGTTTTAATTATATCCACAGAAATGTCAGAAATCTACTTGCTGAAACAGCTAAGGGGTTCTATCTCTTGATCAAGTAACTCATAGAAACAGGAGAATTGACTAAATGTTTTATTTCCCATCAATACCCAAGAAATGTTCCAGAGCACAATGAGCAGGCATGTAAATAACAAAAGCATAGAGCTCAAATCTGTTGAAGTATTTTTCAGATGTTTTTTATCACTGGTTTATTTGGATTTTGAAATAATTAAAGTACTTTAAAACATACTTAAGCATTTTTGGTATTATCTCATTGGGTTTAACTCACTCTGATACTTTTTTTTTTTTCTGAGGTGTTAGTATATTTTTCTCATGGAGTTCTTTAGAGCATGCTTTTTGAAAAAGGATACATGGAGAAAAACACAAATAAGCAAGTAGAGAACAATAAATGCAAATCCTTATAAAGTGCTCAAACATGAATGACTTCTATATGGATCATCTCCACCAATTCTTACAATAACCACTGATGTGGGAAACATTAAAATCTATCATTTACAGATAAAGTGTGGAAGAGATACAGAGTTACTAGCTCAAGATTGATAGGAACAATCTTGTGGTCCCTAGAAAGGAAGAATAAACACCCTAATAATACAGAAGTTAGAAAAAATTATTTAGGCAGAATTTCCCTTTTAACAAAAAGCAGCCCCAAAATAATTTCTTTCCTAACAAAGAGCAACCTGAAAACTTGAGCTACAAACATAGATAAGCAAGCTGAAAACTTGCATGGGGGGAATGCCAGCAGCTGCACCAACAGAAAAGGGCTACCTGGGAGCCAGGCATGTCCAACATAGAGGCTCCATCTTCCCTTTTCTTTGTTACCATGTGTACAGTAAAGAAACAGGCAATATGGCATTGGCCAGGTAGAGAACCCATCTGCATAATAAAAGAATAGGGGGTAGGGGGCAGCTTTTTGTGCCTTATGCAAACGGCACACCTAGCCCTAACCACTTTTTGGCACCCTATGCAAATGGCACACCTGGTCCAGGCAATCTTTCATGTCCTATGTAAATCAGATACCACTTCCTCAAGCTTATATAAAATTCCTTGCACTTCCCTGAAGAAGTGGAAACCTGCTCGTGACCCCTCCTTCTGCAGGAGATAGCTCTTCTCTTTCTTTTGCCTATTAAACCTCTGTTCTTAACCTCACTCATTGTGTGTCCACATCCTGGATTTCCTTGGCGTGACACAACAAACATCAGGTATCACCCCAGACAATGAAGCCACTTTAATAGAGCTGTGGGGCATCTCAAAAGGGAGAAATTTTAGAAGGGTACTTGTAGGATTTGGGGAGGTAGATTAGAGGATTATGTTGGCAAGCACTGTTCAGAATTGGAAAATTGAAGGGTCATTGAAACAATTAGCCTTATTTAGAACACATGACTCTATGTGGAGTTATGCTTATTTAGGTCTATGTATGGTATTCACTTGGACTTAAGTCTCTGATCAAAGTTTGGGTTGGTGCAGGTTTTCTATTTTCTGAAAAAACCTGTAGTTCATTTTGCAAGCTGTGGTTTCCATTAAATTACCAGTATTCCCCTCACAGCTCATATTCCAGCAGAAATTTTTTCCCCTTTACTAAGTAAGTAAAATTATTTCCTGAATTCTAAAATTAAAGAAAGCAGGGCAGAGGCAAGTTATGTAATAGGAGTGAGATTACACAGTAATGAGAGGTTGAGCTGGCTTTGAAAACAGAAAGTCTGGCTTCAGTGTCTATGCCAGTAAACAGCACACTCTATGGCCTCATGTAATAAGGAGAAGAAGCACTATATAAAGGAACTCTGTTGGGGAAAAAAAAATGACAATATAACATGTCTGTCTTATTTCAGAAAATTTAGCCAAGGTGAACTGTTATAAAGAATAGAAATTAAAATGCTCCTATTCAATAGCTTAGTTGCTTTTCATTCCTTATCTTACTTGGTGATTTTGCTGCATAATCTTTGTGAAAATCTCTTGGTTTGAAACAAATATATTGTTGTGCTGAGAATACTTTGTCTGAAGTTCACCATAAGTTTTATTGGGGCTTTTACTGTAAAACACAATTTAAAAAAATACTCAGATTATTGAATTATATAATCAAACGTTGTATTTTAATTCAACTTAACAGTAATAGGTCAGAATCGACATAATACCAAATGCACATCAAAATTTGATAAATAACTCCAGTTAAGAATAAGATTCAGATAAGCACTTTTGCTATTGTCTACAGTATTCCTTTTTGGAAATCTATTTTAAACTGGAGTATCCCTAAACTTAAGGGAGCTTATATGGACTGTAAGTATAGTTTTTACCTGTAAATTGCTGTGACTTTTTTAAAAGCTTCCAATGCTATCATCTCGGTTCCTCTAAATCAATACTTTTATTACTGTATTTATGTCAGCTCTTTATCACTTGCAAGCACTCTCTCAGAAACTCTGTGAATCATATATGTGTGTATCACCTTAAAAATAACATTTTAACCCCTTTGTTTGCTTTTGAAAGATATATGGCAAATTTTACTTGAATAAAACAAGTATTTAGGTAAATTATCAAATATGAATCTTATTCAACATTTTTTTCCTGTGTTGAACATGGTAGATTAATACACAACATTTATTTCGTTCCTCTATGGGTGCAGATTTTTTCAAAACTTTTCAAATACAACCCAGAACACTTTACACAGCAACTCAAGTCTCACACAGACAAACCAAAGGCATATGAAACTGTCAATTATAACATATAATAAGCTTTAATATTTTTCATTCCATACTTTGCTATTCTGTTCTTTGTATATTTATTTTGAATGTGATGGAATTCATTAATTATTTAGATGCTTCAACTTAAGAACACACTTCTAATACGCTTTCTTCTATTGCTGAGACCAGAAAACAAAAAAGAGAATAAAATATTTATGTATGTACCTACTTTTGCAAACTCACATACTGTCAATTCCTTTGCAGTTATGCTTTCAGGTATAATCCACATTGTTCAGTTATATTTGGAATGTAGAGGGGAACATGCTGTAGCAAATTCTGTTGTTTCTTCTTTTTATCTACTTGCAACCAGGGTCACTTAGAAAGGGCATGGGACATCCATTTTAGGACAAAGCAGATATGGTGTTTTTCTGGAGCCATGAATACTAATAGTTTTTTATTGTGTCATTTTATTTCTCATCCAGCTTCCTCTTGGTATAAAATTAGTGCATTTCTAAAGTTGAAACCTTCCTAATAGTGTAAAACATGACGGCTAATGTTATAATAATAACATAATATGTATAAATTTTTACCAAAAGAGTATACAACTATAATCAGAAAACCAAAATTGTTGAAAGAAATGTATTGGGTATCAGACTTAGTACCTGGATGATGAAATAATCTGTACATCAAACCCCTGTAGCACAAGTTTACCTATATAACAAACCAGCACCTGTACCCCCGAACCTAAAATATATTTTTTTTAATTTAAAAAATTCTGTTGAGCATGGTGGCTCACGCCTGTAATCCCAGTACTTTGGGAGGCCCAGGCGGGCGAATCACCTGAGGTCAGGAGTTCAAGGCCAGCCTGCCCAACTAGGCGAAACCCCGTCTCTACTAAAAATACTTCATGTCTAAAACACCAAAAGCAATGGCAACAAAAGACAAAATTGACAAATGGGATCTAATTAAACTAAAGAGCTTCTGTACAGCAAAAGAAACTATCATCAGAGTGAACAGGCAACCTACAAAATGGGAGAAAATTTTTGCAACCTACTCATCTGACAAAGGGCTAATATTCAGAATCTACAATGAACTCAAACAAATTTACAAGAAAAAAACTAACAACCCCATCAAAAAGTGGGCAAAGGACATGAACAGACACTTCTCAAAAGAAGACATTTATGCAGCCAAAAAACACATGAAAAAACGCTCATCATCACTGGCCATCAGAGAAATGCAAATCAAAACCACAATGAGATACCATCTCACACCAGTTAGAATGGCAATCATTAAAAAGTCAGGAAACAACAGGTGCTGGAGAGGATGTGGAGAAATAGGAACACTTTTACACTGTTGGTGGGACTGTAAACTAGTTCAACCATTGTGGAAGTCAGTGTGGCGATTCCTCAGGGATCTAGAACTAGAAATACCATTTGACCCAGCCATCCCATTACTGGGTATATACCCAAATGACTATAAATCATGCTGCTATAAAGACACATGCACACGTATGTTTATTGCGGCATTATTCACGATAGCAAAGACTTGGAACCAACCCAAATGTCCAACAATGATAGACTGGATTAAGAAAATGTGGCACATATACACCATGGAATACCATGCAGCCATAAAAAATGATGATTTCATGTCCTTTGTAGGGACATGGATGAAATTGGAAATCATCATTCTCAGTAAACTATCGCAAGAACAAAAAACCAAACACCGCATATTCTCACTCATAGGTGGGAATTGAACAATGAGATCACATGGACACAGGAAGGGGAACATCACACTCTAGGGACTGTTGTGGGGTGGGGGGATGGGGGAGGGATAGCATTGGGAGATATACCTAATGCTAGATGACGAGTTAGTGGGTGCAGCGCACCAGCGTGGCACATGTATACATATGTAACTAACCTGCACAATGTGCACATGTACCCTAAAACTTAAAGTGTAATAATAAAAGAAAGAAAAAAAAATTAGCCAGGCTGGTGGCAGGCTCCTGTAATCCCAGCTACTGGGAGGCTGAGGCAGCAGAATCGCTTGAACCCAGGAGGCGGAGGTTGCAGTGAGCCGAGATCGCACCACTTCACTCCAGCCTGGGCAACAAGAGCGAAACTCCATCTCAAAAAACAGAAAAAAAAAAAATTGAGGCCTGGCGCGGTGGCTCACACCTGTAATCCCAGCACTTTGAGAGGCTGAGGCAGGTGGATCACTAGAGGTCAGGAGTTTGAGAACAACACGGTGAAACCCCTGTCCCTACTAAAAATACAAAATTAGCTGGACGTGGTGGCACATGCCTGTAATCCCAGTTACTTGGGAGCCTGAGGCAGAAGAATCGCTTGAACCCTGGAGGCAGAGGTTGCAGTGAATTGAGATTGAGTCGTTGCACTTCAGCCTGGGCAAAAAGAGCGAAACTCCATCTCAAAAAAAAAAAAATTCTAAAAGATCCAAATAATTGAAAAGTCATAATAAGTTCATAGAGCAGAAGACAGTATGGTTTAAATGGTAACACTCCCAAATACATCTACAGATTCAACACAATCCATATAAAATCCCATCAATCTTTGCAGAAATTTATAAGCTGATTCTAAAATATGTATGGAAATTGTAGCAACACAGAATAATCATAATGACTTAGAAAAGAGCAAATTTGAAGCAGCTTTTTAATTTAAAAATGATTACAAAGCTAGTGTTCAAGAGAGTGTGGTATTGCCATCACGATTAAACTTATAGATCAATGGAATGTAATTCATAGTCAAGAAATACACCTTATATTGATGGTCAACTGATTTCAACAAGGGTACAGAGACAATTGAATTAAAAAAATAGTATTATGACCAAATGATGCTATGGATACCTATATGGAAATGAATGAAGGTGGACCTCTATCTCATAACATCTCTAAAAATTAACTGAAAAACAAACACCTAAATGTAAGAACTAAAACGCTAAAACTTCTAGAATAAAACAGATTTTTGGCCTTGAAGAGGGCAACGGTTTTTACATATGACAACAAAATAGCAAACAACAAAGGAAAAGTGGACTTCATCAAAATTCAAAAATTAAATTACTTCATACAACACCATCAAGAAAGTGGAAAGAAGGCACTGAATGGATTTTTTATGTGTGTGAATCATTTATATATTGATATAGAACTAGTATCCAGAATACTAAATGTCTATTGAATTAAAAAAAATTAATTCCAATTTAGGGAAAGGGAAAAAGATCTAAAGAGCCATTTTTCCAAAGAATATATAATACTAATGTCTAGTAAGCATACGGCAAGATGCTCAACATCATTTGCCATCAGAGAAATGCAAATCAATCCAAAATGAGACATTCCTTCATACTCCTTTATATTGTGAGATGGATAATATAAAAAAGAAAGATAATAACAAGTTTCAATGAGAATGGGGAGAAATTGGAATCTTCATACACTGCTAGGGGAAAAGCAAAGGGTTTAGCTGCTTTGGAAAAAGTTTGGTCACCTATCCAAAAGGTAAACCAAGAGTACCATATGATGCGGCAATTTAACCACTAGATGTATACCAAGAGTATTCGAAATATATACATCCTAGTAAAAACTTCTACACGACTGTTCACAGAAGCATTATTTCTTATAAACAAAATATCAGAACAACCCACAAGTACATCAACTGATGAATGAATAAGCAAAATGTGGTATATCCATACTATAGGATATTTGTTTTCAAAAACCAAGTGATAAAGTAGCTATACATATTACAACGTGGATGAACCTTAAAACCAATGAAAGAATGTAGTCACAAAAGATCACATATGGTATCGTTTCACTCATATAAAATGTCCAGAATATGCAAATCTGTAGAGACATAAAGTAGATTAGTGGTTGATGATGGCTAGAGCTTGGTGAATGGAGTTGAAAAAAATGACGGCTAATTGGTAAATATTCTTTTGGTAGTGAAGAAAATATTTTAAAATTGGATGTGTTGATGCTTAAACAACAGATATACTAAAAACATAATTTTACTCTTTGAATAAGTTTATTGTTTATTATATGACTTATATCTCAATAAAGCTGCTGTTAAGAAAAAGAAAAAAAAGTCCACCACAGTGACACAGCCTTTCTTGAAAACTGATTCTATAATCTGTTTCTCCAGGTCTTCTCTTGATTTTATATCATGTATACCTTAAAAATTCTATTCTATCTTGAAATTAATACATTAAATGCGATTCTATATAATTGGACAAACTGCCATATTCACTGTGTTTTTTCAACTGTATGTTTTATTTGTTGTTTTTTAAATATTAATATATAAACCATAGAAACAAAGAAGGAAAATAAGGCCCCTTTAGATAAGATAAAAGATTTTCAGGGCATTATGGAGTTCACTTAACTTGACTCATTTTTCTGTTTTTCTCTTTATATACTCTTCTTAGTTGTATTGATTTATTTTAATCACTCCCAAAAGAAGGTGCTAAAATGCAAAGCATTGAATTACAATTACTGTTATCATGATATATACCATAAACTCTTTCACCTCTCATCATGATACAGGGCAAAGATTAAACTATTATAATCAGAAAGTCTATGGTGTAGGCAAAATTGGAATACGAATACTTCATAGAGTTTTTAAGAAAAAATGATGTAATACATATAAAGTTCTTACTATCAATGTTTGGCATATATGCGATCATAAAATATGTTTCCTTGGGAAAATTTTTGCTTGTGTATTTCTATTAATAATAATAGAAGTGAACTATCTAGACTCTCCCAATAAATTAACTCATATGCCTATTTTTTCTCTGAAGTCCAATATTTGTTGAGATACTCAGTTGGGGTAATAATACACTGAGAGTACTCCCATGTAATAAAAACAAACCGTCTCTAGCCTCATCTGATTAAATATACATAAAAACACCTGGGAAAAATTGTACTAAGAGAATTCATGAAGCATCAAATGAGCAAATAAATGGCATCCCCTATTTATCTCTAATCTATTCCTCTAAACTATAAATACAATTTGAGTGTTATTTCACTATTGCCATGATCAATGCATATATAGGTCATTTTCTTTTTAATCCTTTTAAGGAAAATGCAATGTAAGTCATCAACAATGTATAATCTGGTAGAGGGATTCTGATTAATACCTCGTATTTATGTAAGACAATCTAAATGATAAATTAAAATAAAATTGTGATGGAATCACCCAAGATATACACAATATTAACAATACATGTTTATGTGTTTTATTAAAATATTGCCTACTGTAGCTATATATTCATAAGAGACATTTATTTTCTTCCAAATTTTATACTAATTTTATCTTCAAAAGTTATTTTCAGATCTAGTTAGCAGAATTAAATGTTATTTAACTATAATCTGAGAACAATAACATTATACCAAAAACTTTTCTTTAACTTTCTAATAACTTTTCAAAGCATACTGTATTTCTCACATCCAGTGAATTTCTTACAGCCACTAACTTTATTCACTTATTTATATCTTTATTTATTTATTTATGTAACAACTCTAAATAAGTCTATATTTATTGCTTATTATATCTCACGAACACTTCTTTTCACAAGTATTAACATTTTTAAAGAAATAGATATATATGAAACTGGAGAGATTGCATTAAAGATGCAATTATAGAAATTAACATTTCCAAACTAGAAACTGAAAAGTTCTCCATGAAATCATTGGCAAATTTGCAAGTCTCTTATAAAAAATTTGCTCATTCAGTAACTTGTGATGTTTTAATTTCATCTCTCTATTTCTTTTTTCCACGTGGATTCCTTTTTCTCTCTCTAATCATCTACCTAATACTGGTATTTGTTAGAACTCTTCCTTAAGTCTTACCCAATTCCCTCATATAAAACCATGGTTCCCATTGGCCAGCAACAGAGAGATTCTTTCAGAATTCTAGGCACCTATTTACCTGTCTTTGAGATTTAACCATCAGAGGTGTTTAAATACAAAATGACAAAAAAAAAAAAATCCTAATTTCCTCGCTAAATGTTTCTATTAGCCATCTCTTGCTGCACTAGAGATGATGAAAAGCATAGTGGATTACAACTTTGATCCATTATTCTCACAGACCTGTTCAGCTGTGAGACAAGATCTCACAGATCTTTTATGCTCACCTGCTAGGCTTGTTCATGCATCTCTAGGTCAGATGAAGTTAGCTTTTATAGCCTGGCTTGGCTGAAGTGACCTGGCTCCAGTGGCATAAAGGATTGTACTGAGAGCAGTTAAACCTGGATACAGTCAATAAAAAGATGTTGCTAGAAGAATTAAATTTAGTAATAAAACCAACTAGAAGTTGCTTTGCTTTTAATTATCACTAGGAGCCTGTAACTTTAAAACTCGATTAAGTACTCATATTCCATTTTTTCCCACACCAAAGACTTTCTGATTACAATAGTTTAATCTTTGCACTCCCTCACGATGAGTGGTGAAAGAGTTTATGGTATGTGTCATGATAACAGTAATTGTATTTCCATGTTTTTACTGCATTTCAATTAATTAATTGAAAAATTTTATAGGTCAAAGCTGTTTAGAACTTTCTATGATGATAGAAATATTCTGTAGTCACACTGGCTAACATAGCAATGCAAAGATGTTTCAAGTTGTGCATTAGAAAAGTTTCTACAAAACAAGAGATTTCTGTTTAAAAACAACAACAACAAAAAAGCATACGGTGCTTGTAGCAAGAGAAACAGAATCCAAGCAAGCATTGGAATTCTGAAAGACATCTTATGTGACAGTTCACCAGGGATTTTATTTGTACCTAGCCTGTGCTCTTGTCACTGGATTGAACCTCCAAGGTGTGTGGTTCTGTGTGAAAAATCCTGGCTTCCCCTGAGCTCAAAGCAGATGTTTCCAAGATTTGTATACACTTTTGGCCCTTAAGTCAGGTTGATAAACAGGTTAAGCCAGTTAAAAACCTGTAAGAAAAAAAACAAAACAAAAGAAAAAAACACTATCTGGAGGTAGCCAGGGAAGGTTCAGTCTTTAACTGCATGTAACAAATCCCACTGATTTTATGTTGGCCAAGAATCAACAAATAGACATCCAGGAATCCCCAGAGATAAATAGTGAGTTTTGTTCAGTTCATTGTAAATTAACCCTGTCTTCCATAGATAGCCACTAGGTATTGAGTATCACCTTGATTGAAGGATACAAAGTATTGATCCTGGGTGTGTCTGTGAGGGTGTTGCCAAAGGAGATTAACATTTGAGTCAGAGACTGGCCTAGCCTCCTGGCCTACATCTTTCTCTTGTGTTGGATGCTTCCCACCCTTGAACATCGGACTTCAAGTTCTTCAGTTTTGGAACTCGGACTGGCTCTCCTAGCTCCTCAGCCTGCAGATGGCCTATTGTGGGACCTTGTGATTGTGAAAGTTAATACTTAATAAACTCCCCTTTATATATGTATCTATTCCATTAGTTCTGTCCCTCTAGAGAACCCTGACTAATACAATATGGCTACTGAACATTTGAAATGTGACTTGTGGGAGCTGGAATTAAATATTATTTATTTTTATTTAGCTATAATCAATATAAATTTAAATAACAAAATGTGGCTATCTTGCAGTTTTTCATTTTGGAAAATTTATCTGCAAAGCTTCTTTTTTTATTGTTGGAGTGAGTCATAAATTTGATTACTTCTTACACATTTAAAGATGTCCTGGTTTGATATCATTAACAATTTTTCCAAGCATAGATTCTAAGCTATAAATCCATTGTATTTTCCATAATCTGCCCTTTGACTCTTGGCCCAGAATTTTTAATTATAAATCATCTATGGTCAATCTTTTGTAGTATTTATAGAATAGAAAAAGAAAAAAAGAATAACTGTCAAAATACTAATGATCTGTATTGACAAATGAGATATTGCTTTAACAAATTTTGGTTTACTAAACATTCCAGCAAAAATTGGTTAATAATTATGTTTAACTCTTTACTTCTTTTCATTATTGAGATTTAAACTTTGTTGAAGTTCAAACCAACAGACTGACAAAACAATTAATTTATTATTAAACATCTATATTTCCTCCTCTGTTAAATTAGTTTTTATTGGATAAATATCTTGTAAAAGTTTTAATTTTTTAAATATTTTATTAGTAATATCAAATGTTTTGTTGAGACCAATCAAATTAATCTTACCAATTACACTAGGATTACACTAAATCGCAGTTACATATTGGTTATATATGTATCATTAAAAAATTAAATCAGTTATAATTAACAATAGTATTTATTGATCTTCTTAACAAAAACAACTCTGCTCATTTACCAACTGCTGTCATGGATTGGGATGTAAATCAAGGAGAAAAAATATTAAGTTTATTCCAGATCCAAATTCTTTTTGGACATGCCGGTATTCATTTTTTCATATTAGGTTGGTAAACTTAATCGTTTCTTAGGAACGATTATGTCAGATGCGCAGAAGTCAAGCCCAAATATACTTTAGTCTATGCATTCTAATATACTTTAGACATATGCATTTTATGCATGCCAAAAAGATTCCCATAGGCACCATTTCTGGATATTGAGACTATTAGAAGAAGGTATATGAGCCTAGAAATTGACCCTGACCCTGATACTGACTTCTGTATGCTAGTTACTCTTCATATTGATTATTTCCCTCTATCCACACCTCTCCACAATATGCACACACATTGGACTATAGGCATTAAGGCCTATAATACTATGAGAAGCCAGGCATTCAACAAATATTCCATCTGGATAGACATCTAGATATGTACACCATATATAGACATCTTTATCCACAGGTCATCACGGAGGTTAACAGTTACATAGTAATCTTGAGTTTCTATTACTCAAAGCAATTTTTGGTGCACATATAACAGTTCCCACTCATTACCTTCCACAAGAGCCTTTTCTAATAGCTGTAAACTGTATAATGGAAATTGAAATACAAATCAACTTCAGAATTATTCCAAGTGTTCACTACAAAGTGCTGTCAGTGTCATTAAGACACATTACATAGATGACTCCAGATTGAATAATTAAATTCACTGGGACCATCCTGGACCTTCAACTTCAATCAATAGAAGGAAATAGCTTTACATTTATGACCATCTGTAAACACAGCTCGGAGATAATATCTCATTCAGAACCTTTCACAACACACTAAAGTAATACTGTTTCATTTTTGAATGATCCATTTATTTGTTCCCTTTTTATTAGAAAGCATTTATCCGTCTTTCCATTTGTCATTAGTTTTCATATAGTGTTCCCCATCCTGAGGGTAGGACTATCAAGTTCAGTCAGAAGACTGCCATAGAACTGACAGTATTTTCCCCTTCATCTATCTCTAGTCATATGTAGTAAGATTGCATAAGTGGATGCCACCTTGCTTCTGAGTTACTTTCTTGTCTAGGGGCTGTGGGCAGTTTTATGCACTCTACTTAGTTTTCCTTCCATAATGGCTATTAGTCCCTGAGTTAAGAAATCTGAGTTTTGGCAACTATTATGCATACCCATTGCACCTATGCATTTGGGGATAGGAAAACAGTCACAGAGTAGTTTCACAGATCCATGACACACATAGAGGCATGGCCTCCAGAGAGGACTGCATCTAATGCGTAAGGAGGAGTGCATTATGTCATTCCAAGTATCTTGGTATCAATTGTAAATTTAACATTATATTCAACAGGCCTTGTGGGTCTGTGTTTCCTCTTCTTCTAATTTACTGTCACTCCAGTAAATATTTACTTATTACTTTGTAGAAGATTTAAGAATAATTTTTCTATATACTTGTAGTAGGTATTATGTGATTCTTCCCGAAAGAGGTCTAACCTTCCTTTATATGATTTAGGTGTGAAATGGACACAGCTCTGGAAACTGATTGATGCTCTATGATCTTCCATCATAGCAATTGTTAGTAGTTTTATGTTTGCTAGCTCTTGATTCTTTTAGATTATTTAAGATAAATGGCATCTTCATTGTCATTCAATACCATGCTCTATTATCTATTACCAAAAATTTCTATGGATCACATTTTCTCTTTGTCATTCTTGCCTTGTAGCTCATTTTATTAATTATATCCATCTTGCCTCTGACAATAAAATCCATGCCTGAATTCTGCTATTACAAAATATTGTCACGCCTATTGCTATTAGTGAGCACATGAGTTCCATGGCAACATCTTCCACTATGGTGCCTTTATATAGAAAAGAGTCACCACTTGGTTTCTCAACTACTCTGGTGCCTTTTTGTTCATTGCATTCCTCACAGTTTTAGAAAAGAATGTGTATTCCCAGGCCTGCTGGAGAAGAGAGTCAGACACTGTTATCTTTTTTTCTTAATTTATATAGAAATACTAACACCATTTAGCTTTCTGACCCTCCCTCCCGCAACATTCTGCAAAAACAGCCTCAATCTCTTTATGACATTCACTGTAGGCTATCGTTTTTTTGAAGATTCAAATGTATTGGATATTAGATTTTGAGTCAAGGCTGAATGCTCCCATATCAGTAGCATCTCTCTAATATTACATGGCATCTCTGTTTAACATTCTCAAGACCCACTTTCATACACTTTCCCTGGACTCCTACAGGTGGGTATTAGCCAAATCCTGCAGTTATTTTCATAAGTAAATTATTTCCCTCATGGTTAGGACTGCACTTCTCTGTTTAGACTATGCTAAGAACCTAGTTATCTGCCAAAGAGTAAAGCAGGATAGTAACTTGAATCTAAATAAGGATATCATCTCTTGAGGTATTTGTCTTTGCTGAGAGTCCATAACAAATTTTTAGGGAGCAGGAGCCTGTTGTGTTCTAGCAAGGAAAAAAGGGCTACATCTGTCTGTTGTAATATACCTCCTATTTGCTGAAGACTCCTAACTAACTACACCTACTTGCTGGAGCCTCCTAACATACTAATCCACCCACTTACTACCAATAAGGAATCATTCACATCAACTGACTTCAAAATACAATGTCTGTTTCTGAGATGGTAAATTCTAGGTTACTTTTAATGCCAATTATCTTAGATTGAGTTTTCTCTAAAAGAAGATATTGAGACTGGGACTAATGTACAGACAAGATTATGTGAATGAAGGCCTCCAAAAGCACAAGTAAATGTCTGTCAAAAGTCAGACCAGAAATGTAGTAATGCTAAAGCCAATAAATGTGTTAATGAATAGGATATTGTTGGGGCATGTGGAACTCCATCCTTTTGGGGATTTCCTGGGTATTATGTTGAAATACATCAGAATGACTTCCCATCAGATAGGAAAGCTGAAAATGTATCCACCAACCTCCATACGTCACAGTAGCTGGTTTCCTTGGGTGTTAAATTCTTGGTATACCAAGCTGCCCTACTTGCATTGGAAAAGCCTATGCAGTTCTAGAAAAAGACTCTGGAAAAATAAGTCAAAATACACAGATGGATGCGATTTTAAAAACTCTAAATATAGCTGATATTTTACAACTTGCAGTGAAAACAGAGGCAGGCCAAATAATATGGAGTGGGCATCAACAGTGTCAGCTACAACATTAATAAAACATTTTCTAGCAGCACTTTTGTAACCTCAATTGAAAACAAGACAAATTTTCATCAACAATAGGATGTGGCATATTCATACAATGGAATACTATTCATCAAAGAAATTGAACAAGTTATTGCCAGTGACAACCACATGAATGAATCTCTAAAACATAATGCTGAGAGAGCAAGTATAGATAAAAAAGAATGTTTACAGTATAATTCTGGTGATAATCAAATCCTATAGTAACATTTCACCCATAAACATAGTAATCACTATTGATGTAATTGATTATACAGTTTTGAACTAATTTCACTGTCTATATGTCTCCTGTCATTATATTATTTTAGAAGTGTCTATAATTTATCCTGGGAAATATTCTAAGCACATTTACATAATTAGATACTCAGCCATTTCCCAGAAGTATACAAGGCCAAAAAAATTGTTTTCTTACAGAAAATCCCAAAGACCATTTCAATATACAAAACCAAAATCTAACTCTATGGCTAAATAAATTGCTTAATTTATAAAAGGGATGTAGACTATGATAAAATGGGAAAAGCAGTAGCATGATAGAGCTGCCATGACACATATGTAAATGAACAACTAACAAAGAAAAATTGTTTTGCTCTTAAATGTCACACAAATAAGTGTAATATGTGACGAGCATATACTCAGCATTCTATAGTGATTTGATGAAAATTTAGTGCATTAAATTATTTGGATCACTTTTTGAAATTAATGTAATAAATGCTTGTTAAGTGCTCTCATTGTACCTGACATTATATTAATTCTTAACTTTTCCTAAATATTTAAACAAAATCTTATCATTATAAAATCTGAATCCATATATGTGAATATTATTTTGGCCAGGGAACAAGAAAATGGAGAAATGGAGTTAACTTCTATAATTTCATCCACTAGTAAAAGGCATACCTCTGATTCAAACTAAAAATCTTGCAACCCAAAGTTATGCTATGACCAATGAAAGCAAATTGATATGAACTATTGTTTGTTGTGGATTTGCATGTGAAAGGAATGGGACATTTCAGTTAAGGAGATCTCCATGTATAGATATTATTTTCAACACTGCATATCCTGTTTCTTCTTATTGAATAGAAACTAAAAATTAATCCCATGACTCTTAACACTAGGAATCTCCAATAACAGTCCCCCAAACACATTTCCTTACAATTAAAAAAAAAACACATAGAGAAAATTCCCAGCATTTATGTACTTACATTTTATGTACTTTACACAAACTAGAGCTCAAAAGGAACTAATAGGAAAGGTGTGCTTATCTTTACCTCAAAGAGCATCTCTCAATGCTGCTTGTTAAGTGTTTATAAAAGATGAACATCCAAGTTGCAACTCTTGCAAGACCAATAGCATCAGGAATTGCCCTATTGATTTGGCTTATTAAAGTATCTTCTCCCACCTAAACTTTCAACAAGCACAGGGAATCTAATAATAAGTAGGCATAACTTTTGCTGAAAATAGCATGAAAAATGACACACATGACGTTCAAATAATAGTTTGAAAAATTAAATGTAATTCACAGGGAAAATAAATGGAAACATTTGGAAAACATAGAATGATTTATTACATCTTATAAAAATATAAATTCTGTGCTTCACAAAAAGTATGTTTTCCTTGAGTCACTTGTTTCTCAACTACTTTTGACACACACATACACACAAAACTTGGTTTTGCCTGCAACTTGTTTTTCAGGATCAAATAAATTTTTGGTAAGTCATCATTTACAAGTAGCTAAGTGCTGATGATAGGGTTGATAATTTTTGCATTCTATAGTTGTGACTAAATGTGGCTCTGGATTTCAAAATTTTTAATAATGCTTTTAGCACAGTTATTTACATGGCTAAGTGCTTTTGAAGTTGTTTTCCATTTATCAGGTGTCAGAAAACACTGCAAGAATAATGAGGGACAAGTTAGAAAAGTCCATTAAACACCACTGACTACTGTCATCATCTTATCAACACTAAATAACAAAAACTATTTTTAACCATAGAATAAATAATAAAAGTCAAGGAAAATTATTTTAAAAGCTAACATGAATTTTAAAATGATAGCATAATAAAAAATAAATTATAGTAATCGAGTAGTTGATACACATAAATGAAAATAAAAATAAAATTAAAAATGTAGCGGAGACATCTGGTTTATTCAGCTAATTCTGTAAAAGCATGCTCTTTATTATTATTTTACAATATCTAAATCAATTAATTCCTATCTCATTGGTATAGAGTCTACGTTAGAACAAAAATATATTTTACATGTGTCTTTGCCAAGATTATAAATTTCATGTAGTATCTATTAAACATAATTACAGTAATTAATAAATCAAGTTATGAGATTGGGTCTTTTCTAATGTTGAAGTTCTAAATTTATCTCAATAATTTTTTCTTCTCCAAAAAAATCATAATTTTTAATAGTTCTTTTTATTTGAAAACATGTTTGATTTCCAAATGATCACGTACTTTGTTGTTATGAGTACAGTTTTTATGCTAGTTAGCATTACTTTGAGTGATAGGAGTCTGCTTAATAGGAAAAATAGAGAACAAACACACAGATTCCATGGTTGACTTATATGTCAACTTGGCTAGCCCATGATACTCAGATATTTTTCCAAACATTATTGCAGATGTCTCTGCGAAGGGACTTTTTAGAAGAGATAAACATTTAAATCATCATTTTTTATGGCTGCATAGTATTCCATGGTGTATATGTGCCACATTTTCTTAATCCAGTCTATCATTGTTGGACATTTGGCTTGGTTCCAAGTGTTTGCTATTGTGTATAGTGCCACAATGAATATACGTGTGCATGTGTCTTTATAGCAGCATGATTTATAATCCTTTGGGCATATACCCAGTAATGGGATGGCTGGGTCAAATGGTATTTCTAGTTTAAGATCTCTGAGGAATCGCCACACTGACTTCCACAATGGTTGAACTAGTTTACAGTCCCACCAACAGTGTAAAAGTGTTCCTATTTCTCCACATCTTCTCCAGCACCTGTTGTTTCCTGACTTTTTAATGATCGCCATTCTAACTGGTGTGAGATGGTATCTCATTGTGGTTTTGATTTGCATTTCTCTGATGGCCAGTGAAGATGAGCATTTTTTCATGTGTCTTTTGGCTGCATAAATGTCTTCTTTTGAGAAGTGTCTGTTCATATCCTTCGCCCACTTGTTGATGGGGCTGTTTGTTTTTTTCTTGTACATTTGTTTGAGTTCATTGTAGATTCTGGATAACCAAAAACCACATGTTCTCACTCATAGGTGGGAATTGAACAATGAGAACACATGGACACAGGAAGGGGAACATCACACACCGGGGCCTGTTGTGGGGTGGGGGCGGGGGGAGGGGTGAGGGATAGCATTAGGAGATATACCTAATGTTAGATGATGAGTTGATGGGTGCAGAACACCAACATGGCACATGTATACACATGTAACTAACCTGCACGTTGTGCACATGTACCCTAAAACTTAAAGTATAAAAATAAAAATAAAAATAAAACAAAAACATTTAAATCAGTAGATTTTGAGCAAAGCAGATTATCCTCCATTATTTGCATGGTCTTCATTCAACCAATCAAAGGCCTTTATAGAAAAAGACTGGCCTTACCGAAGAAGAGGGACTTCTGACAGCCTGTTACTTTTGGACTCAAACTGCCACTCTTTCCTGTATCTACAGTCCACTGCTTACTGTGAAGAGTTTGGGCTTGCTAAGCCTCCACAATGGTGTGAGCCAATGCCTTAAAAATAGATTCCTCTTTGTATAAATATGTACATCCTTTTGGTTGTCTATTTGGAGAACCAATACGAATACACATACTGGTACTAGGAAGCAGAGTACTGCTGTAACTAATACCTCAAATGTGGAAGTGACTTTGAAATAGATCCACAGGTAGAGGCAAGAATTTTTGAGATGCATGTTAGAAAAAGCCTTGGTTTCCCTGAAGAGACTTTTGGTAGAAACATGGATGACAAAAGTGCTCATGGTGAGTCCTCCAGTGGAAATGAGGAACATACAACTTATTGTACACTGGAGGAATGATGATCCTTATCATAAAGTGGCAAAGAACTTGACTGAAGTGTTTTCTAGTGTTTAGTGGATGACAGAACTGCAAGTGATTAACTTGGACATTTAGCTGAGGAGATTTATACACAAAGCATTGAAGGCACTGCCTAGCACCAAGGGCCACCACCCCTACGGGAACAGAAGGCAGGGTTTTTGTGGACTAAGAGAACAAAGCATTGAGCTAAAGAGGATGTTTGAAGCATTAAAATTGAATAAAAATTGCCCTGCTAGGTTTCAGATATGCTAGGGACCCACGATTTCTTTCTTCTTTTATTTTTTTCCCTTTTGGAATGGTAATATTTATCCAATGACTACCCCACTGTTGTATTTCAGAAGCATTGTATGTTGTCTGGTTTTACAGGCTCATAGCTAGAGAGTAATTTTGTTTTAAAATGAATCAGACCTTGAGTATCACCCATAACTTAGATGATATTTAGTTGATATTTTGGACTTAGAGTTGATGCTGAAATGGGTTAAGACTTGTGTGGCTGTTGAGATAGAGTGACTATATTTTTCATAAAATCCTGTCATATGTCCTTTCATATGAATAACATAAATTATGTGGGACCAGAAGATAGAGTGTTTTGGGCTGAATTTTTTCTCCCAAAATATATATGTTGAAATACTATCTCAGCATGTAACTATATTTAGAGATGGGGACTTTAAAAAAGGTAATTAAAGTAAAATGAGGCCATATGTGTGTGTTCTAATACAACGACTGGTGTCCCCATAAGAAGACAAGTGAATGTATAGAGAAAAGACCTCGTGAGGACACAGTGAGGCTAGCTATCTGCAAGCCAAAGACAGAGGCTTTACAAAAAGCAAAACCTGCTGCTATCTTGATATTGAAATTCTAGTCTCCAGAACAATAAGAAAATTATATATATATATATATATATATATATATATCCTTGCATTTGTATTGTACCCCCTTTCCTCTTATATAAGGACTGTAAGTACTTAAGAGACGGAAAGCCTACCTATATCCTCATAGACCTAGTCCCAAGCCATCTACTGAGATGTGTCTTCTAAGACCTTTCACTTCACAATGCATTATTATTCCTGCTCAGTATTTAATGAAGAATAGAAGAAATTTCTTATTCTTCCGAAGCTCATGTAGTTGAGAGGGATTGACCTGTAAACAATTTTTTGCATATTAAAGAGTTTCCTGGCAAATAGATTGTTAATAGCTACCTTTTTTAAGTCTAAGACAAAATGCAAATTTGCTTTTCTCTATAGACAGTTGTATATCATATAATAAGCATTTTAAAAATGTGCATTGTAGGCCATTTATATGTCTTCTTTTGAGAAATGTCTATTCAGATATTTTGCCCATTTTTAAATGAGATTTTTTTTTCTGTGTTGAGTTATTTACATTCCTCATATAATCTGGTTATGTGTTCCTTGTCAGATGTGCAGTTTGCAAATATTTTATCCCATTCTATGGATTGTCTCTTCATTTTGTTGCCTGTTTCCTACGGCCAATAAGCAAATAAAAAATGTTCAATATCATTAATCATCAGAGAAATCCAAATCAAAGCTACAGTGAGACATCATCTCACCACAGTAAAAAGAATTTTATCAAAAAGAAAAGCAACAATTAATGTTGGTGAGGATGTAGAGAAAAGAGAACTCCCACTCTTGGAGGGAATGTAAATTAGTATAACCGCTACGGAGAAGAGTAGAGAAGTTCCTCAAAAAACTAAAAATAGAACTACCATATGATCAAGCAGTACCACTGATGGGTACATACCCAAACAAAAGGAAATCAGTATATCGAAGAGATATCTGCACTCCCATGTTTATTGCAGCACTATACACAATAGCCAAGTTATGAAAGCAACCTAAATGTCTATCAATGAATGAATAAATAGAGAAAATGTGGTACATATATAAAGTGAGGTACTATTCAGCCATAATAAAGACTGAGATCCTGTCATTTGCAACAACATGAATTCCACTGGAGGTCATTATGTTAAGTGAAATATGTCAGGCACAGAAAGACAAATATTGCATATTCTTACTTATATGTGGGAGCTAAAAAAGGGAACTCAAGAAGAGAGTAGAATATTTCTAACAGAAAGAAATAAAAATGCTTGATGTAATGGATATCTCAATTACTCTGTTGATCATTACACATTGTATGCTTTTATTAAAATATCATATGTACCCCATATATATGTACAATGATTATATATTTATAATAATTAACAATATTTTAAACTATGAAACAAAGCAAGCCTAAGATTCCAGGCCATGTCTTGAATATTGTAACACTTAATAAATGTTTATTGAATTTTAAAAAGTATATTGTCAAGAATATGTAAATTAGCACAATATATAGAACTGTCCACTTATATGTAATTGTAAAATAACAATATTTTTTAAATGCCTCATATGAAGATAGAAAAATTTATTCTATCTCTATTCATATAGTGGATACTTAAAGTGATTATTTGGTAAAACATCTCTTCATGGTTATATAAAATTATATTTGTCTAGTTCAGAAACAATTGAATACAGGATTTTAAAAGCAAACTATGAGTTTAAAAAGCTGTACGTATTTTTGGTTAACATATTTCAAAGCAAAAATATGTTCTCCACATTTAATTTATAGATTATAGATAACAGAAGTCTTATTGGTTTTGTCTTTGAGAGAATTTTTATTTAAAATAACTTTGGGTGCAGATAGACTTGACATAAATTCCCAGAACTTTCATCTATGAATTGGATGCTCTTGATATTTCTGCCAGTTAACTACAATTTAAGGTTGATATCCCCAATTTTATTGTGAGGAGGAATATATCTATGGAGAAAGAGTTTTGTGTAATAAAAATTGATACGTAAACTTCAAAGTAGGATTTTCAAAGTATCCCACATCATCCTTATATTAATAAGCAGTCAATCATTTTTTATTAAAAATTTCTTTATTATATAAAACTATTCAGTCTGATCTATTTCTAATTATGATTTAGTTGAGCCCTCATTACTCCCTAGTAAAATAGTAATCTTTCCCCAACTCTACATGTAAAAGTTGTTTCTTCATGCTTTCCCCAAAATTGGCCTCAGATATGCCCTCCTTCTTCTTTAATTCATAACTCGTTTTGTTCTTGTTTTAGTATCTAACAGATTGTTTTGTTTTATTTTATTTTACTTTTGGTTTTGGTTTTTTTCTTTCAACTTCTATTTTAGGTTCAGGGGGCACGTGTGCATGTGTGTTACATGGATCAATTACATGTTGCTGGGGTTTGGTGCACAAATTATTTCATTAACCCGTAGTGAGCATAGTACCCAATAGGTAGTTTTTTGATATTTCACAGTTGAATTTCTACTCTAGCTATGAAAGATACTCTTCTGATTTCTGTGTCACTAAACTTTCCACTAATGCATTATATCTATCTATCTATCTATCTATCTATATATTAGATATATCTATATAGATAGATATATCTATCTATCTATATATTAGATATCTATCTATCTATCTATCTATATATATATATATAGATATATAATATATATATATCTCCTTGTGTTTGTATTATACCCCCTTTCCTCTTATATTAGGATTGTAATTACTTAAGAGACAGAAAGCCTACCTATATCCTTGTAGACCTAGTCCCAAGCCATCTACTAAAATGCATCTTTTAAAGCCTTTCACTTCACAATTCATTACTCCTTGGCATTTAATGAAGGATAGAAGAAATTCCTTATTCTTTCAAGGCTCTTGAAGTTGAGAGACATTGACCTGTAAACAGTTAATTTCACATAAGCTTTCCCAAAGTTCTATCCCATAAGCAGAAGCATGAGGAGATCAGGGAGTCCTTCATAGATGAGGACTAATTTGATCTAAGGCCTGAAGGTTAGATATCTGAGAAATAAAAGTGATTATAGCTATAGTAAAATCTGAGTAGTGGTGAAAATGATTATGCAAGGTTCATGTAACTTGACGTACTTGAGCATGACTATGACTAGAACAGAGTGAGCGTGGGGTTTGGTGGCAGGTGAGTGTGCCAGGTGATAATGCCGAAAGGCAGGCAAAGCTGATATTGACAGTCTTTTATATACTTCAAATATGTTTGAGTTTTTTCTCAAGAATGATAAAAATATTGAACAATTTTAGGAAAATAATTGATATCCAATTTGTATAATGTCTTGATCTCAGCAAGTTCTGAACACATTAATAAAAAAAGAATGAGTTAATTTTCTGATTGAATTGGAAATAGGTTTATTTTTTAAAATTTACATTTATTTTCAGAATAAAAGAAAACTTTATAAAAACACCTTGAATAGTTTCTTTCTGATATATACAGAAATATTAGCTAAAGTGACTTGGGGAAGATAATTTAATGTTGATTTATCTTAAATAGCTTAGATTATTCTCACTCTGTGAAAGACTGTATGAAAACAATGTCATTCATTCATTGAAACATGTTTTCCTTAGTAGACTTTTTGTTGAATAAGTCCTAGCTGGAATATTAAAAAGATAGTTTTTTTTTTCTTGTACACAGGTTAAACTGTTATAAGTAAAGATATGTTGCGAAGCCTGGGATATTTATATATTTATTTACACATTTATGCACTTAAATATTTACAGACAATTAAGATTTCTATTTCAAGTTAGCAGAAGCTTAAAGAAGTCAAAAACTTACTGTGAAGTAAACTCCTAATACACGAGAATATCAGTGATAAAAATTACTCTCTATAGTTTTATGAAGCAGATTTTACTGGTTATATAATAATCATTATATGCATTAAATTTCTTCATTCAACCGATAGTTTTGAGCACTTATCCTCTAGAGGGCACTATACTGGCCTTTAAAGCAGTGAATAAACAATACCAGGTCCTTATTCTCATAAAATTTACATTTGATCTTGAAGATGCATAATAAACAAACAAATCAACAAAATACCTCTAATGACTATATGAGAATAAAATATAACAAAGTAATATAATTCAATTTCAGGGGCAGTGGTATAAGTCAGAGGGGTGACCATGAAAGAGCCAAACAATTGAGTTTGAAGAGGCCAAGCATTCCAGGCAGAGAAATAGGCAACATAAAGGTCTGAAGAAAAACGATCTTTACATATTCAAGAAAGAGTGGGAAAGTAGTGATGCAGCTCTTATTTAAATCAAGTTCCATTCAAGTAAAATTATAGTCATTATGGTTTCATTTCTGAAGAGGCTTAGAATAACAATGAAACGGGATACTGGAGATTAGAGTGAAATCATCATGCATCTGTGTTTGACAGACCACTTCGGGATGTGCTTAGTGGGGAGACTGATTTTCTTCAGAGCCTCCATTTCTGAATCTAGGAGGTCAAAACTGAAATAAAGAGTCAGCATAAAATCAAACTTGACCTATTCAAAGCAGGAATCCTGCCAGACCAACATCTGAGAAATTATAAATGTTCTTTGCATATTTACTTGTATACATCTATAAATATATATATATAAGCATACACAGTGCATACGTTAAAAAACAGCATGATTCCATATTCTAAATTTCTAAATTCTAATTTTTTTTTAATCCAGTGAGGAATACGCAATTATCTTTCATAGTTTGTAACATGTCCATTGTAGATATACCAAAATTCTTGTTGAAATCTTTCAGATATATCTTATTATATGACTGCATTTGTTAAGATTGCTATGGTAGGGGCCAAATGGGAAAATTTCCCTCAACCTTCTAAAAGTTCACCGAAAAATCAATTCACAGAAGGCAGTTTAAGAATAAAAGGCATATAGACATATTTAATGTGTATACATGGGAGCCTTCAGAATGAAGACTCAAGGATACAGGGGAAATTGCCCATTTTTATGTTTAGGTTCAACAAAGTATAGACGGACATGTAGAAATATGATTGGACAAAAAGGGTAAGACCTAATGTTAAAAGACAGACTAGGAAAACGCAACAAGGCCTGTCTGCCTAGATTCTTCTTGGCCTCTCTGAGCATGCATTCCATTTTTCTGGGTGTGAGGCAGAGCCCTCTCTGGAAGAGGGGTCTTCTGACCTATAGTCAAACAAGTTAGGTTAGATAATTTATTTATGGCCAGTTTTCATACAGAAAGGAGGAGGGAAAGTTAGACAAATATTCTTAGGTTTTATGGTTGGCTTTGGGGAAAAAGAGTTTTGATTTCTATGACCTGCCTTGGGAAAGAGACATTCTAGCTTCTTATGGCAAGTCTTGGGGGATAATGGGTCTGAGAGAGGGGTGGGCAGGAGAAGGTCAGTAAAAATATTTTACTTCTGAGGCTGCCTCTGAGGCCTTCATTTTAGTGTACTGAAACCCCAACACTACATAGGAAATTGAAGAGAATACATGTATAGTTTTAACTAAACAAAGAACTGTGACACTATCTTCCATGTTCTTGAAATTCTGATTCAACTAATGTAGGCTAACATCACTAGATTTCTTTTTTTTTGTTTTTTGTAGCTGTGTTATTGAGCAAATGAGATTGCTGCTCAAGGCACATAGAACTTAATACTGCAGCTTTGAATAAAGATCTTATTGCAAGGCCAGCCAGCAAGGAGATAGGAGTCAGGCTCAAACGTATCTCTCCAATTTGGGGGCTGGGGCAAGTTTTAAGAAGTTGGAGGTCAAAGGAAAGGATTTGCGAATTTACCTGGGCAGGGATCTATTACAGGGCATAACATTTGGCTATTTATGGTAAGGTATGTTGAGGTGGATTTCAATCCTGGATCTTCCTGGCCAACACACCTCTCACTTCTGAAAGAACTCAGTGGTCATGTTCTAGTCATGTCCTGGTCTTTTTAGTTCCATGGAGAGACATTGTTGCTTCTGGGTGTTGTTAGAGGTCAAAGCTCTTCCTATTCTGCATGCAGGGCCTATAGTACTTGCAGTTTGGGCAGTTATACCCACGAGATAACATGACATTTTGTTAATAACAGAGTAGAGCCAGTTTGGGCTGGTCCTGTAGTTACAGCTGCAGTGAAACATCGGGATTTTTAGTAAGCCAAGGGCACACAAAGGAAAATCTCTCTCTCTCTCTCTCTCTCTCTCTCTCTCTCCCTCTCTGTGTGTGTGATAAAGCTCACAGTTTTAAAGCATGTAATAAATGATAAAATGTGATCGTAGCAAAAATATTCACACATCTCTCTAAACTTCATGGTACAACTGTCTTAGCCTAACTTCCCACATATATTTTATGGACACCTAACCTACAGTTCCTCACCTTTCCCAACTAACTATAAGCCTGCAATTTCTTATACCCTGAAGACAAGAGTGCAGTCTATGACAAACTAGTTTGTAAATCAAGTGGGCAGCAACAAGAGAAGCATCAAATCCTTCTCCCACAAAAAGTAGAAAAAATAGAAACCTCTAGCTATGCTTTCATGCAATTTATATCATCAAAAAATCATACTAAATCTTGGAAACGGAAATGTGAGACAGGTTGAATCTTGAAAGGTAGATAAAAAGAAATATATATTTTTTCTGATTGTCTTTCAGTTTAACAATCATGAGAATTCTGTTCACCCCTGAGAAAAAAAAAAAAAAGAAATCCTAAGGCCCCCAAGCGACTTGGACAGAAATGCTCTTAGCTAAAGAGACCCCAGAGAAACCTTGAAAACTAATTTCTCAGCCATGATGGAATGAGAGATCAGACATGTCTTCTTATATCTACTCTCTCACTAACCGTCATTAGCCTTTCTTCTCTAAGGGTTGAATAGAAACCAGTCCTTTCAAAAGACTCTGTCACTGGTATTAAACAACAACCTGACTCTGCTCCTCCTTTTTTGCCTGATAAGATATGCTTATCCTTTTTTGCCTGATAAGATATGTGGTCAGAAGCACTCTGCTAACCACAGAGTGCTTCTGGCCAGTCTACAGAGAATGTGAAGTAAGAGTTTTCATTTCCTCTGCTTCACCTTTTTCATGTCAGAGAACCCAAAGTTCCATTCTCAGATCATATTAACACCACATTTTTTTTTGTACATGGGATCCATGGAGGGGCATAGAGCTCAATTGCACATTTGCATGATTTTCTCTTCACAAATATTCATGACTCCTCCTATCATTTATTAAATATGGATGTTTGGTCACTCCACTCAGCATAAATTCTTGTTCCTGTTTCCCCTCCCTTGAAGTATCTGTTTTTGACTTCCAAACTGAGGCTATGTTTCCCAGCCTGTCAGAATGGCCACCTTGCAGGCTGCAACCTATATGAGAAATAAAGCTCTCCTTTCCAAATTTATGAGGAAGTGATCTGCCCACTTCGGACTCCCAAAGTGCTGGAATTACAGATGTGAGCCATCCCGCCTGGCCCCTATTACTTTATTTTAGACTCCCCTGTAAAACTCACATGATATTGCATTCCCAATTTTGTGTGTTATTGGACAAACATTCTTTGAAGTGACGCATTATAACAAAACATCTCTGTTGCTGCCCTACCATTAGACTAACAAGCTTGAAGAACTTCAGTCAGGTATTTTAGTGATGGATTTAATGAGTAGTGGGAAAAACCCTTAACCCTAAATTATTAACAAACTCAATGCAATCTGTAATGCATTAGATATGAATTGTGCACCTATTTGTATTTTAGTATCCCACTCAAAACAACCCCATGGAAGAAGTGATATTATTATACTTATTTTTTAGATGGTAAAAATAATGTAAGCAGTGGTTAATTAAAGTGTCAGTGGTGAAATGGTATTGTCTGGCTCTTTAATCATCGCACAAATTTACAACAGTTTAAAGCAAACAGAATTTCAGATTTTGGAGGAATCAAGAAATATAATGATAAATCTTTGAAAGTATACACAAATCCTTTCAGAGAATCTAGTCATTAAGGGATAGAAATTAAATTATCACCTCCTAAATGTTGACTATATTACTGTCAAATAGATATTTGAATTTAGAAATGCTATTTATTTTCATCTGAAATATAACGTTTTAAAAATATACTTATCAGTTTGACTCTTTAAACAGTAGGAAGTGGAAAAACAACCATTTATGGTAGCCACTTAATATTCGATAACAGCTTTGATCACTTTTCTAAAAATGTTCTTGGTTTATGAATGGCTCATTCCATATGCATAAAATACATTATTAGAAAAAGTATAATTTTAGCTTTTAGTATAGACATGTCAGTTGAGAATTTTAACAAGCCAGACTTAAAAAAATGCAGGTGATATTTATAAATACACTCATTTTCCAACCCAAACAGCTTTGCTTTTAAAATTTAAATTAGTAGAGTGTAAGACGATAAACAGGTATTTCATCATCGGACAAATAGTTTTTGCTAGTTTGTGTTTCTTTGTATGCTAAAAGAGAAATGTTGTGTCAAAAATTTTCTTAAAAATTAGTTACACATATTCAAATATTTGTTTATTATATTAGAACAATTCTTTGTAAAATTTATTTATTTTGCTTTTTAAAGTAATTCAGTTAAATCTATTCCCCATAAAATATAAAAATCTATTTTTACAAAATATAAAAATGTCTGATTTATTACTTCATTGATTTGATACATAATTTGAAAGATTACATACTAACAATAGGTTTTAAAGAGATAATAAAGCACACAGCTTGTATTCTGGCATGAGAAAATAACTAAAAATTTTAAATTCAACTAATTTTTCTTCTTTCATTGAAATGTATTCTATATCTTGACAAGAAATTAAGCTTTTTATAGCACAAGTTGAAAATGATTATTAATTCAGTTGAAGTGTGTTAAGTAGTAGACATTTCATAACAATTCTAAATTACAATGAATATTTTAAAAGTTGAGTGTTCACTTGCAATTTTTGTGCTTAGTGATTCAATATTGGATGATAAACATAAAACATTGGAGAGATAAATCTATAATACGGTTTTGTCACATTTAATAATTCACAGTTTTACAAACTCTATAATATCAGATTATTTTGAGAGGTTTAGCTACCAGACCACTGCGAAGGCTCTTTAACCTAAGCTCACTTGTCAATTAAGTTCCTTATATCTAATCTTCTCGAAGATTCTGTTTTTTTTTCTATCTCAAAAACCAGAAGGTATAACTTTTGCTAATTTGCATACATAAATTTTATACACTAACAACCATGTTTATCAAAAATTGTAAAGTATATATAAAATCCTATTTGATTATTGGTGAGATTCATTTATTTTTCTCTTTCAGTTTTCATTTGAGTGTTGCATAAATGTTGACTGATCTTGACTTTCATTGCTCAATATATCATAATAGTATTTTATGCACTGTGGAGACTTGACAAATAATGGAGACAGAACAAATAAGACACCACTGTGGGGAATGTAATTTACACTAATATATTTCAAGCTTGATTTGTCCAGAGTCATATCAATATGCCAAGTGTGTGAAACCCATTGCTTTTGGATTACATTTAAAAGACTCCTAAATTGTAATTAGGCATGGCAATGTAGAGTGATGAAATTTTATGGCCATATGCAATAAGGCTATTAATATATTAACAAGATTTTATGAACATTAAGTGCCTTGTAGGATATCACTGAATATTTATATTTTCAAAAGCTACTTTTTCAAATAACAATAGCAGCAACAAAAAGTTAATGAACAACTCCAGAAAGTTTACTGTAAGGTAAAAATGCAGTATTACATGGCAAGCAAAGAACCTGAGTAACTAAATTATTTTAGTTCATATTGTGTTTTGATTCAGGCAGAAAATTTATTCTGCTCCTACACAATAATTGCATTTTTCTTAAGATCATGTTTTTTACCAACTCTTAGACTAGTAGAAAACATTATTTGGTGAAATAAGTTATCTTTAGCATTAAAATAACTAAATATACTTAAACGTGTTTTTTGCCATCCTTGGGGGAGATCTAGAGCTTTCCCTGATAAGAAACAGCAGAGACCAGGATAAAGACAACAATACCATAAAATTCCTGGCTGATATTTTAATTAGATCAGTGTATGAAAATGTGTTTCCAGTAATTGCTCTCTTTTCTTCATGTTCTTATTTTGTGTTTGTATTCATATGTTTAATCTTTCTTTTAAAAATTTATTTATTTATGCAACTTTTTTTTAGATTCAAAGTGTATATATGTAGCTTTGTTATCTAGGTACATTTGTGTGATGTTGAGGTTTGGGGTGTGAATGAACTCTTCACCCAGGTATTGAGCACAGTACCTAATATTTCTAATGTTAGAATATAGAGGAAAGTTTGCACTGTGGAGTAAGGGAAGAAAAGAGCCAGATTGTTTTATAAGAAATACACGAGGAGTGCTAAACAAATCCTTGAGCCTCACCACTAATACAATATTCCCATTAGCGATAAGTACTATATGGAAAAGTTTTGGCCTAAAGCTTTATAATCTCAATCATTATGTCTTAATCTTCAAGTTTCTTCTCTGTATTACATTTTTAAAAATATTCAGGTTGTTGCTATGCTGCCCTAGGAATTCAGGTTTCAAAATCTGGAAGATTTATCAATACTGCAAAATTATATCATACTCCTTTCCACAAACACACACACATCTTTAATATTTATATCAAAACAATATAGCATCTTAAAGTATAATTATTGATCACTTGCTGTTCAATATTCACAACTCCCAGACTCCTTTTGACATAATGAAGAGTATATAGTGTTTCTAAATCTCTTGTTGGTAATTATTCCATGTCCCCACTGAGAAACATGTCACAATTGGCTATATGTTCCTACTTAAACTACTTTTTTCTTGGAGTTTCTCACACTGTACCCTCCTGGTTTACATCTACTCCCAACTTTCTGGTCCATAGAATAACTCATCACCTACCATTGCATTTGACAAATTCTTCAATATTTCTTCTTAACAATAAACTCCAAGATGAGTCACCAAATTTCTCCAGTCTTATGTGGGGAAAACTCTCATTACCCCATGTAGACAATATATAGATCAGTCACACTGATTTTAACTTTTACAATACCTTAGTTCAAGCTACCATGGAGTTATACCTGTGCAACTGCAATAATTTCGTAATTAATATTTCTGCATCCATACATTATTTAATCAAGTAAATGTTAAGATTGAAGATAGTGAACTTATTGTGATGAACAAATTTAATCATGTTGGTCATCTGTTCCTTTTTCTTGAAACAAAAAAACAAAATCCTCAGCAAAATCTGACACTTGCAAAATTCTGCATTCTTATCTGTCATCAGTCTATTTTACACACATAGTCTTTTATTTAATATCTCTTATATTCCCTATTTCCTGATGCCTGAGCAATTCTTCCTATGCTGTAAGCACCTGAATTCAGCCTCTTTTTCACAATTCATTGTTCATTCTTCATCTATCAGTTCAAGACTTACTCTGTAATGTCGTCTATGCTTCACTGTAAACATTATAGTTCCAATTTTATATAATTGCATGGAATGTTGAAACTTATTCTATTTCAAATACTTTTGGCTCACATATGATTAAGGAATCTTAATATGTAAAAAGTTCTTAAAACGCAACAAAAAATGACAAACAGTTAAATTTATAAATGTGCAAAATATTTGAATATGCACCTCACTAAAAATAAGCTGTTGGCAAACAGACACAGCAAAAAATGTTCAGAATGATATGTGATTAATGAATTGCCAATTATAGCAACAATGATGTACAATTACACACATATTGAAATGGTTAAAATAAACAGAAAAAAAATTCTGAAAATGTTTAGAGACTATGTGGAGCAGCAGAAACTCTTACTCTTTGCTGGTTAGACAACTCAATTTTAACTTAATATACATACAGATTGTTACATACAAATTCATAGACCAGCATATATTCACAGTTTATTATACACATGTACATTACTTTGCTCTCTGAGCTGAGGGGACACAGAAACAATAACATGTTAGTAGTAACGAGCACACACAGAGCCTACATCTAGGCTTCTTAATATTTTATTAATAAAATAACACAGGTGGACTGCTCCTGCATGACCAGGGGACACTCCAAAAAGGCTCTGTCAGAGGGAAGGTCTAGGGCTGAAGGCAGTTGTTTAGATTATTATGTCTGACAGGTTGTTCCCTTGATATCATACTCTTCCCCTTTTCCTATGGATATGGCTTCCAGTGAGCCAAACTGCAGTCATTGTTGTCTGTCTTCTGGTCTAGCCACTTAGCAACATGGAGAAATTAAGTTTCCAAGACAAACAAAATCTGAAGGATTTCACCAACACCAGACATGTCCTACTAGAAATGTTAAAGGTAGTAATTCAATCAGAAAAAAAGGATATTAATGCGTAATAAGAAATAATCAGTAAGTACATAGAAAAACACAGAATGCTATGACACTGTAACTGTGGTGTGTAAACTACTCTTAAGTAGAAAGACTAAACACTTAACCAATCAAAAATAATAACTGCAACAACTTTTCAAGACATAGACGGCACAATAATATATAAATAGAAACAAAAAATTGTTAAAAAATGAGGGTATGAAGTTAACGTATAGAGTTTTTATTAGTTTTCCTGTTGATTGTTTGTTCGTTTATGCAAACAGTGTTGTCAGCAGCTTAAAATAATGGGTTATAAGACAGTATTTCCAAGCCTCCTTGTGGTAACTTCAAACAACAAAAACATACAATGGATACACAAAAATTAAAAGTACGAACCTGAGTGATATCACCAGAGAATATCGCCTTTACTAAAAGGAATTCAGGAAGGAAATAAAGAAGGAAGAGAAGACGACAGAATAAACAGAAAACCTATAACCGAGTGCCAGGAGTAAGTTCTTACTTATCAGTAAAAATCTTGAATGTAAATAGACTAAATTCTTCAATCAAAATACATAGAGTGACTGAATAGATGAGAAAACAAGATTAAATAATCTGTTGCAGACAAGAAACACACTTAACCTATAAAAACACACATAGATTGAAAATAAAGGTATGCAAAAACATATTCCATGCCAATGGAAACCAAAAAAGAAGAGAAGTACCTATACATCCATCAAACAAATTAGATTTTGAGACAAAACCTATAAGAAGAGACAAAGAAGGTCACTATATAATGAAGAAGAGGCCAATTCAGCAAGTGGATATAACAATTTAAAAATGATTTGTAAAGCTGATGTAAAAACACATTGAAAGAAAACAAAACAAAATTTTAAATATGTATACACCCAATACCAGAGAACCCAGATACATAAGCAAATATTATTAGAGCTAAAGAGACAGACCACAATATAATAGCTGGAGAGTTCAACACCACACTTTTAACATTGGACAGATCTTCCAGACAGAAAATCAACACACAAACATTGAACATCATCTGCACTGTAGACCTAATGAATCTGATAGATATTTACAGAATATTTTACTCAACAGCTGGAGAATACATAGTCTTCTCCTTAGCACATGGGTCATTCTCAAGGATAGACCATATTTCAGGCCACAAAACAAGTCTTAAAAAATTCAGACATATAAATAATATCAAGCTTGTTCTCTGACTAAAACAAAATAAAACTAGAAATTAGTAGCAAGAGGAATTTTGGAAACTATCAAATACATGGAAATTAAACAATATGCTCCTGAATGACCAGTGGGTCAATGAAAAAATTAAGAAGGAAGTTGAAAAATTTCTTGAAACAGTTGATAAACAAACACCATATACCAAAACCTATGGGATATGGAAAAAGCAATACTAAGGGAGAAGTTTATAGCTATAAGTGCTCACATAAAAAGGAAGAAAAACTTCAAATAACCTAGTTATGCATCTTAAATAACTAGAAGAGCAAGAACAAACCAAACTCGAAACTAGTAGAAGAAAAAAATAAATATCAGAAAAGAAATAAATGAATTTAAAATGAAGGAAACAATACAAACGATAAATGAAACACACAGGTTGCTTTTTTGAAAAAAGTTAAACAAAATTGACAAACTTTTAGCCAGATTTAGAAAAAAAAAAGAGAGAAAACCCTAATAAATAAAATCAAAGATAAAAATTGAGACATTATATCTGATACCACAAAAGTTCAAAAAATTATTAGTGACTACTATGAGCAACTATATGCCAATAAACTGGAAAATCTAGAAGAAATGGACAAATTCCTAGACACATGCAACCTAACAAGATTGAGCCATGAGGAAATCCAAAACCTGAACAGGCTCATGTGAAGTAATGAGACCAAAGATCTAATAAAAGTCTCAAGGTAAATAAAAGCCCAGAACTTGATGGCTTCATTGATAAACATATAAAAGAAGTAATACCAAACATATAAAAAAGAAGAAATACCAATCCTACTCAAACTATTCTGAAAAATGGAGGTAATATTTCCAAACTCATTCTACAATGCCAGTATTAATCTGATACCAAAACCAAAGCCACATTAAAAAAAAAAAAACAACTACAGGCAAATATCTCTGATAAATATTGATGCAAAAATCCTCAACAAAATACTATCAAACCAAATTCAACAATACATTAGAAAGATCATTAATCATGACCCAGTGGGATTTATCCCTGGGATTCAAGGATGATTCACCATATGCAAATAAATCAATGCGATACATCATAGCAACAGAATGAAGGACAAAACCCATATGATCATTTCAAATGATGCTGAAAAAGAATTTGATAAAGTTTAACATCCCTTCATGATAAAATCCCTGAAAAAAACTAGATATATAAGGAACACATCTCAATGTAATAAAAGCCATATATGACAGACCCATAGCTAGTATTATTTTGAATGGAGAAGAACTGAAAACCATTTGTCTTAAATCTGGAACATGACAAGGATGCCCACTTTCACCACTGTTATTCAACATAGTACTGGAAGTCCTAGCTAGAGCATTCAGACAAGAGAATGAAGTAAAGGGCATCCAAATTGAAAAGGAAGAAATCAAGTTATCCTTGCATGCAGATAATGTAATCTTATATTTGGAAAAACCTAAAGACTACACACAGACACAAACACACACACACACACACACAAACTTTTGGAACTAATAAATTCAGTAAAGTTGCAGAATACAAAATTGACATACAAAAGTCAGTAGCATTTCTATATGCCAACAATGTACAATGACAATGTGAAAAAGAAATTTTAAAAAGTAATCCCTTTTACAATAGCCACAAAAAAATTAAATACATAGGAATTAACTTAACCAAAGAAGTGAAAGTCCTCTGTATTGACAACTATAAAACACTGATGAAATATATTGAAGAGGACACCAAAAAATGGAAATCAATTTCATGTTCATGGATTGGAAGAATCAATATTGTGAAAATGTCCACACTACCCATAGCAATCTACAGATTCAATGCAATCCCTATCAAAATACCAATGGCCATGTTTAAAAAAAATTCCAAAACTTGTATGGAACAACAAAATGCCCAGAGTAGCCAAAATTACGCTCAGCAAAAAGAATGAAATTGGAAGGATCACATTACCTGACTTCAAGTTATACTACACAGCTCTAGAAACCAAATAGCTTCACACTGGCATAAAAACAGACAGACCAATGGAACAGAATAGAGAAAACAATAACAAATCCACACATTTGCAGTGAACTCATTTTCAACAAAGGTACCAAGAACATACACTGGGTAAACAACACTCTCCTCAATTAATGGTGCTGGGAAAACTGGATATCCGTATGCAGAAGAATTAAACTAGACTCTTCTCTCTTACCATGTACGAAAATTATATCAAACTGGATTAAAGACTTAAATCTAAGACCTCAAACTATAAAACTACTACAAGAAAATATTGGGGAAACTCTTCAGGACATTGTTCTGGACAAAAATTTCTTGAGTAATATAACCCAAAAGCAAAGGCAACCAAAGTAAAAACGGACAAATGGAATCATAACAAGTTAAAAAGCAAAGGATACAATCAACAAAGTGAAGAGACAACCCATAGTATGGCAGAAAATATTTGTAAACTACCCATCCGATAAGGGATTAACAACCAGAATATATATGGAGTTCAAACAATTCTATAGAAAAATAATAATCCAATTAAAAACTGGACAAAATATTTGAATAGACACTTCTCAAAAGTAGACATACAAATTACAAACAGGCAAATGAAAAAGTGCTCAACATCACTGATCATCAGAGAAATGCAAATCAAAACTGCAATGAGATATCATCTCACCCCAGGTAAAATGGCTTCTATTCAAAAGATAGGCAACAACAAATGCTGGTGAGGATATGAAGAAAAGAGAACGCTTGTGTGCTGTTGATGGGAATGTAAATTAGTAAAAGCACTATGGAGAACACTTTGGAGGTTTCTCAAAAAACTACAAATAGATCTACCATATGATCCAGCAATTCCACTGCTGGGTATATACCCAAAAGAAAATAAATTATTATATTGATGAGATATCTACACTCCTGTGCTTGTTGCAGCACTGTTTACAATAGCTAAGATTTGGAAACATCCTAAGTGTCCATAATCAGATGAAATGATAGGTAAAGAAAATGTGATACTTAATCACATTGGAGCACTATTCAGTTGTAACAAAGAATGAGATCCTTTCGTTTGCAACAACATGAATGGAACTGGAGGACATTATATTAAGTGAAATAAGTCAGGCATAGGAAGACAAACATTGCATGTTCTCACTTGTTTGTAGGATCTAAATATGCAAACAATTGAATTTATGGACATAGAGAGTAGAAGGATCATTACCAGAGGCTGGGAAGTGTAGTAGGGGTGTGGAGGAGAGGTGAGGATGATTAATGGGTACAAAATAAATAGAATGAATAAGGCCTAACATTTGATAGTACAACAGGGTGACTGTAGTCATTGATAATTTAATTGTTGCATTTAAAAATAACTAAAAGAGTATAATTGGATTGTTTGTAATATAAAAAGTAAATGCTTGAGGGGAAAGATACCCCCATTTGCTATGATGTGATTTTACACATTGCATGCCTGTATTAAAACAGCTCAAGTACCCCATAAATATATACACCTACTATGTACCCACAAAAATTGAAAATATTTTTGAATACCAAAAAATATAATTGATATTTAAATCTGTGGAAATTGAGAAAACTAATTTACCCTCCATAATACAGGTGGAGTTTACCTAATCAATTTAAGATTTTAAGACAAGATTTCTAAGGAAGAAATAATTCAATCTCAAGACTGAAACTTAGAAACTGTGCCTGAGTTTCCACCTTGGTTTCAGATTTGCAACTCAATACTCTAACATCAACTTTTCCCTGGATTTACCCTGCCCACTTGACCTACACATTTAGCACTTGCCAGGCCCCACAATTCTTTAATCATTCCTTCATCAACCTTTCTCACTATATAAATATAGAAATATATTAGATAGGAAAAGAGATAGAGATAGATATATATCACATTGGCTCTGTTTCTATGGAGAACCCCTGACAAATGCAGTGCACCACATATAGTAACTTCCTTCTAAAGAATGCAAGATGTAAAGTAAGAAAATAATAATGTAGTGGAGAAACCTGAAAAATTCTACTCAGCCAGGTGATTAAGCTTAACATCGACACTAATAAGTCGTGCCAATTGTGTGTACCTTTGATATAATATATTCAAAATAATATTTTATCTCTATTACTTCCTCTTTAACCCATAAGTCTAGTCTAATCATAAGAAAAAAAATGAGACAAATCACAATTGAGGGACATTCTGCTAAATATCTGACCAGTATTTCTCAAACTTGTCAACATGATCAAAAACAAGGAAAGCCTTAGTAATTTTTATGACCAAGATAAGTCTAAGGTGACATATTTTAAAATGTAATATGGCATCCTAGATGGAATTCTGGAACAGACAAAAAGAAATTAAGGTAAAGTCAAATAAATCTGAATACATCATGTTTTATAGTTAATAAGAATGGGTCAATATTGATTCATTAATTGTAACAAATCAATATAATAAGCTATAGTGTAAGTTTTCAATAATCTAGGAAACTGAGCGTGGGTTGTATGGAAACTCTATACTACCTTTAGAATTTTCTATAGGTGTAAGATTGTTCCAAAATAAAAAAAAATAGAAAAAAAGAAGTAGAGCAAAGGGAGAATACTTTCATCTTTTCTTTCTTATTCTTGATGGTTAAGTGCAGATATTTTATCTGCAGTTGGGAAATTTGTCTTGGACTAGGAGACAACATTGAGAAGGGAAGATTTTGCACAGAGATTCGATAGGATAAATTGAGTATGGATCTTTGATACCATAGAGTATCATCTCAATGATGATCATGCAGATCTAGAGATCTACATGAGATATAAATTTGATGTTGTTTAATTATTGTTTCTAGTTATTTTGTTGCTGTGTGGAATTTTGTCATTAGTGGCTTAACTTAGTCCTCATTATACCCTAAATATCATAGTATAATTAACCAAAACTATATTCATATATACTTAAGTCATTAGATTAAGTATTATGAATAATATTAAAACACCATAATTCACACACTTCTTCCTAATTAAGTTATTTAAAGTGTAATTTTGATATTGAAGATTTCCATATTGATGTCTATTGCCCATTTTTCATCTAGAGGTATAAACAGTTACTGCCTTTGTCTAATTCCTAAAACTTAGCCAAAATACAGTAAATCCTTTTAAAACATAAAATTTATCAGTAAAATTAGAATAACATCTTTTACTTTATTAGTAAAGTTCAACATCTTATTTTATTATTTATTATTTTTATAAGTTTGTCTATTTTGAATCATGCATTCCTCATGGAATGCACATTTGTTTTGTTTATTTATTTATAAATGACCACTGAATAAATATGAAGAATCCTAAACTAATGCTAGTATTTAATAATGTAATTTTTAGAATGTATAATAGTCCATATTTATGTTGATGTAATCAAATGCCTACAGTTTTCTGTATATAATTTATTATTTTAGAGACTAAATTTCTATGTACCTTCTACTTACATTTCAAAAATTTGGGGGCCATTTATTAGTAGTTTATGGTACTATATTCTGATTGTACTTGTGGGTTTTTTTATTTGATTGCTTTAAACTAAGGAAATGTCTACACGTATTTGTTAAAGTAGAATAGCTTTACAAATATTTGATAAGATGGAATTTATTTCCCCAAATTCAAATTTCATCTCTTTGTTCTTGTATTTACTTTCAGTTATATAGCCTAAGTTTACATTTTTTTATTTCGATATCTATTGACTTCCTAAAATGAAATATTAACTTCTCTGCATCAAAATTGCCACAATCAAATATCCTTTAATATTTGCCCTCTCTCTGCAACTCTTTTCTTGCCTCAAATTTCTGATACTTTCTAATATTCTGTGGCATGAGTTTATTTGCTTTATGTTGGCTCCACTCCCAACAGACACTTAGAATAATTAAGAAGTTTGTTTTGTTAGTCATCTTTTACTTGTTCTAAAAGTATCCATCATCTACAATTTTATAACGAATCTCTTTTGCTGTCATGTTCCCCCTTGTTCTCTTTATTCTTGTGAGTTTAAGCAGTTTTAACATTTTGCTCCCTTATTCTCATTTTGAGCAGATTGATAAGAACAACAAACATATATTTTTGATTGTCCAAGTCATAGGGAAGTTTAGTTTGTTTGATTATTGACAGAATTAAAATATAATTTTCTGTATCTAATGAAGAAGATATTTAAGAATTTTTTTTCTAAATATTTAGGTATTCTAGCTTTATCACATTTTAATAATTGTAAGATGCCAGTATGACTTTATATTTTACAAAATGTTTGTTGCCTTGGGTGCTTTACTTGACACAATTCAGGACAACTTCTTTGTTTTTCTTTGCTTTGCTTTGCTTCTGCTTGTTCTTCATCTTTTTTGGACATCTCCCCTTCCACCCCACTTTTCACATTATTATGATTAAAAATGTTCTTTAAACATTTAAAACTATTCCTCAAAAATAACTCTAAAACCCCTTTTCTGGAACAAGTTTTCAAATATTCAACAGCATTCAACAGAACTTTTCAATTCTCCAAGTATTTAACAAAAATAGCATATTCCTTTGTGCAAATGCATACCAAGAGAAAAATAAAGTGTTAAAAATAAATATTAACATGTATATTTTAGCTAGGCTTAAAAAATTATCTTAGAGGGCTTCAGTCTAAGAATGCAAGTAGTACTCATTATCAATGAACAATTAATACAAAGCAATATGTTTAATAAATTTTAATGGGCAATAAAGCTTTTTGTGAAACTAAAAATATATTTGTCATAATATTTTGGGAAAAGAGGGATTGAAGTGTAGTTTTGAATTATTATAAAACTATTTTCTCAGATATATAGCTATCATTAGATTTACTTATAATATAGAAGTTATATATTTTATATTCATCTCTTTTCTGAATGTTGTGGTCAGCTAATTTGATAGACATTAAAATAATTAGCAAAATAGTTGAAGTAGAAGTTAGATAATTTTTTATGAAAAACAATTGAAAAGCAGGTCAAACAGTTAAAGAGAACAGTTTATTGGGTGTTCAAATATATACTTAGTGTCCAATGGGGATAAAAGTCTGAGATTCCTACTCAATCTTCTTCTAATTCACCCCAATGTCAGAGGAAACTTCTTCTGTGCCTCTTAACATTGTTACAGTATAGTGCTGGTCAAAGTCTAAATTCCACACTCAGCTATTGTTAATTTGGGCAAGGGTAAACCCACAGGGTTTTATTAGTTTGTTTGTTTTTGTTATTTGGTTGAAGTAGAATGGTTATTTTCTAAACTTTTTCTTCCCCGTCTTCCTATTCTACTCTCTCTAGATTCTCTGGCTAGAGAAGGCTGACATTTGTTGGGCCATTTTTTCATCTGTTGCTGGTTGGCATTTCAGTTTACCAGCTTCATTCAAAAGAAACAACTAACAAAATGGAGAGAAAACCTAGAGAATGAGAGGAAATATTTGCAAATTATTCATCCAATAAGAGAAAAACAAGTATATATAAGAAACTCAAACATCTCAATAGCAAAGAATAATAACAATAATATAATAATAATTCAATAAAAATGTGCAAAATATATGAATAGGCATTTCTCAAAAGAAGACATCCAAATGACCAACAGGTATAAAAAAACATGCTCAACATCTCTAATCATCAGTGAAGTGCAAATCAAAACCACATTAGATATCATCTCACTTCAGCTAGAATGGCTATGATCAAAAAGATGAAAATAACAAATATTGTCAAGGATAGGGAAAAAGGGAAACACTTGTACACTGTTGGTGGGAATGCAAATGAGTGCAACCACTATGGAGGATCCAGAAAAAAAAAATGAGCTACTAAATGAAGCAGCAATCACACTGCTGGGTATATATCAACTAAAAAGGAAATCAATGTATCAAATAGATATCTGCACTCCTATGTTTACTGAGCATTATTCACAATAGCCAGTATAGGATATCAATGTGTGTCCATCAACGAATGAATGATAAAGAAAATGTGTATAAATACACAATGGAATATTATTTAACCATAAGAAAGAACGAAATACTGTCATTTGCAGAAATACAAATGAAACAAGAGATTATTAAGTGAAATAAGGCGGTCACAGAAAGACAAATTTTGCATGTTTTTACTAGTATGTGGGAACTAAAGTGGAGCCATTCTATTCTCTGTCACATGGAGACAGAGAATAGAATGATGACTACCAGAGGCAAGGAAGAGAAGGGGCCAGCGTGTATGAGAAGTTATTTGAGGGGTAAAAAGTTATTTGAGGGGTAAAAAAAAAAAAAAGAGAAGTTATTTGAGGGGTTCAAAAATACAGTTAGAAGGAATACATTCTAATATTCAATCTACAGTAGGGAAATTACAGTTCACAATAATTTATTGTTATAACAAGCATAGACTATTCAAAAAATAAACTATTTTAAAATAGCTAAAGAGAAGAATTATAATGTTCCCCACACAAAGAAAAGATAAATATTTGAAGTTACTGTCATTTGGTTATTATACATTGTAGAAAGGTATCAAAATATCACATGTACACTATCTATATATATAACTATTGTATGCCAATTAAAATTGAAATAACATGTAAAAAATAAAAAAGAAGAATGGAATATGATAATACAACTTTAAACATATGAATTGGATGACTGAGATAAAATGGACTGATTCTTTAAAATTTCATACTACCATAACTTCCACATTATGAAATAACATTTTTTTTTTTTTGAGACAGAGTCTCGCACTGTCGCCGAGGCTGGAGTGCAGTGGCACGATCTTGGCTCACTGCAATCTCAGCCTCCCAGATTCAAGAGATTCTCACACCTCATCCTCCCAAGTAGCTGTGACTACATGGGTATGCCACCACACCCAGCTAATTTTTGTATTTTTCGTAGCGACAAGGTTTTGCCATATTAGCCAAGCTGGTCTCAAACTCCTGGACTCAAGTAATCCACCCGCCTTGTCCTCTCAAAGTGCTGGGGTTACAGGCGTGAGCCACCATGCCTGGCCAAATACATTTCTTAGTTAGCACAATAATCATTCAAAGATATTAAATTTAAAAATGTAAACATCCAAAGAATAAAAAAAGAAAGCTTCAGGCCCAGATAGTTTTTACAATTGCTCCAAAATGAAAATTTTTAGTGTGAATGTGATAAAACATATACAGGACATCTATACTGAAGACACTGATGAAAGAAATCAAATAAGTTCTAATTTAATTAGGGAAGATATGGTGTTCATATATTGGAAAATTCAAGATAGTAAGTATGTTAATTGTCCTTTAATTGATACATTTCAATATATTTTCTATCAAATTTCCAACAAGATTTTGGTAGATATAAAAAGCACTATTCTAAAATGTATATGAAAAGGTAAAGGAAGAGTAACATTTAAATAATTTTGAGAAAGCAATAAATGAGTTATTGGTCTGCTGAATTTCACAAATTATATATCTAAAATGAGCAAAATTCTCTGGTATTAGCAAGGGGATAGACACATAATTTAATGCAGCAGAATAGAGAACATAGAAATAGGTCCCTGGGGTATACTCAATTGATTTTTCACAAAGGTACACAAGCAAGTTAATAGGAAGAAGACAGAATTTCAAAAATGGTGTTTGAGCAATTTGATATTCAAAGGCAAAAATAAACCTTGACCTATCTTCACCTTGTACAAAAGAATTAGCTCAAAAGATGATGGACTCAAATGCAAAATGTAAAACTAAAAACTGTCATAACAAAGGAGGAAATCATAGAATCTAAGTACAGACAGAATTCTTAGATATGAAATCAAAAGTACAAGCAGTAAAGAAAAACTTGATAAATTTGACATTGTAAAAATTAAAATATTTTTCTTACAAAAGAATCTATTAAGACGACAAAAGGACATGTCACAGATTTTGACAACATTTATGGTAACAACATTTCTGATAAAGGATTAGTACCTTGAATATACAAATAACTCTAAAAACTCAACAGTAAAGAACCACCAACCAAATTAAAAATAGATGAAAGACACAGGTAAACATTTTAACAATTAGAATATATATGGCAAATAAGCATATGAAAAGATGGTCCACATTAGTCATCACGGAACTTCAAATTAAAACCACGAGATGTCAGCATGGCCAAAAAGAGGAAAACAAAAACAAAAAAAAAAAAAAAAAATCTGACAACACCAGGTTTTGGCAAAGATGTAGAGAAAATGGGTCTCTCACGCTTACAGATGCCTCTAATTTAGTGCATATTCTGCCTTCCGGAGTTAATATCAGCCACTTTCTTACAAAATATTTATTTTGAGATGGCACTTCTGTTTTGCCTTCCAAAAACCCTTTCAATGCTCTATCAGATTAGCTCTTTCTAGATAGTAAGCTATGTGATTCCCTTTCTCTACCATCATCCAGAGCAATTTGGACATTTACATTCCACTCAAAATAGGCTCTGGCTTCCACCAGAATCATAAGAGCCTTCCAAGCAGCATGTTTTTCCCCTCCCACTGCTTGGAGGGGGCATAATCGGGGAATATTGGCACTCTTTGGTTCATTGTTTACACCCTTATCTATCTCCTTTTGGATCGTTTGGGTTGAAGGGGGGTCCTTATTAGTTGGGGAAGAGTCTGGGGGACGCTGGGGTAGGGAGGTAGTCTGAGGGCTTCCTGTAGGACATAAATCACACTTTTTACATAATTGCAAGTTATCTCTTAATGAAAAGAAAGTTTGCACATATGGCACTTCACTCCATTTGCCCTCCTTTCTACGGAAGAGGTCTAGCTGTAAGATGGTGTTATAATTTATACTTCCCTTTGGAAGCCAGGTTTCTCCCCCTTGAAGAGGATATCGTGGCCAGGTGGTAATGTAGAAAAATATAAGTCATTTATTTCCAAGCGTCTGAGGGTCAAATTGGTCCTAATTCTCCAGAATACATCTTAGGGGTGTTTTTGCCTTGGGGTTGGGGGAACATTTCCCATCTGAAGAAAGAACATAGGTATGCCAGCACCCCTAGTCATTTTCTGATGAGCAGTAGTCCTAGAGCGTCCTCTAAGGGCCTAATGCTTATTCTTTTCCAGGGTGCATAACCACCCATGGACCTCTGCTTATCGGATTAGTTACAATCACCGATGTAGCAGTCCTGCAGCTGTTTTCCTGCCTCTCTTGACCACAAAGAAAGGGGTCCAGGCTGCTGGATTCTAGTGGTCCTTTACCAGCATACCCAACATTGCCTTTGCTCTCAGGGGTGAGTTACTTTCCAGGGTGCATAACCACCCATGGACCTCTGCTTATAGGATTAGTTACGCTCACCAATGTAGCAGCCCTGCACCTGTTTTCCCGTCTCTCTTGACCACAAAGAAAGGGGTCTGGGCTGCTGGATTCTAGTGGTCCTTTACCAGCATACCCAACATTGCCTTTGCCCTCAGGAGTGAGTCCTAGAGTTGGGCTGGGTTCCTGAGTATTTCATAACAACCCAGCTGCCCCATAAGATGCATTCCCATAAACAACAGTTCTTATGCAAATTCGTTTCTGAGAGGGTGTAGGGAACCTTTGAGTCAGGATTGAGATAGTCTTTTGATTCTGTAAGTACTTTAAGGCTTGGCTGAGTGCAAACAGCTGGCACGTTTGAGGAGACCAATTATTAGGCAATTTTTCTAACTCTGCTTCCACACAAGTCTCTGTATCAATTACTGAATACCCATGGTGGTTTTGTCTCAGTCACCTGGGAGGAACCATCTATCCTCCTCTCCTGAAGGGAGTTCCTCCTAGGTCTGCTCGGACCTTCGTATGGTAATTAAGATTTAAATCCCCTGTAAGGAAATCGGCTGGGTTAAGGGAATTATCAGTGGTTGGAGTTACATTAGCCTTTTCTAACATAATAGCCCCATACTTTAAGATTTTTGATGTATAAACAATGGCTTTTTGCTTTTTTTTTTCCTTTTTTGACTTAGAATAATTCTGAACTGGTGAGGTGTGCACACAACAAGGTTTCCTCTAAAAGTTACTTTTCTACTTTTAGCAAAGCAGTTGCCGCTACCGACTGAATGCATTTGGCCCATCCGTGGGTTACTGGGTTAAGGATTTGCTACACCCTTATTTACACTGACAACAAAGTGGCAATTATCAATTACAGGTTTTAAATTTACCCTGGCTTTTAAAGGAATAGGGCACACTTTTTTTTTTAACTATTTCTATCTTTTTCTTTCTTTTTCTCTTTGACTCCCTCTTTGTCTTTCTCTGTCTCTCTCTCCCTCTCTCTCTCTCCATCTCTCTGTCTCTTTCTCTCTTAGCCATTATAAACTTGGGGCCCTGGCAAGGGTGGTGGGGAATGGGTCCCACATAACTGCCCATGTCGAGAGCTGTATACCTAAATCGGGAGGGACACCAGGTATAAGACTCCCGGGTTATAGCCTAGGTGCCTAAGGACACAGATAGAGCTTCCTTAGATCCCTTTGGAGATACAACTTGCCAGAGGAAATGAAAGTCTGAACCATTAGTACCTAGGAGGCAGGGATCAGAGAAAGTAGATTCAGAGGTAGGGAGAATTTTGGGGCTACACCTTGAAGAAAGTCATGGTTGGAACCCAGGAAGTATGGGTCAGAAGGAAAGGTAGGGGCGCAGGCATGGGTGACTGCTGAGTAGAGACTGGCTGCGCCATGATCTCAACCCGCTACTGCCGGGAGTTCCGGGCGACAGCTTTCTGCCTCGTCAGCCCTCGGCTTCCCCAAGAAAACTGAAAGTGGAAGCTGGCTAGAGGCAGACCAACGTCCCCAATAGAAGGGTTGAGGGTTGTTAGAAAGCCCTTCCCCAGACAGCCTCACACCTGAGTCTTAAGTCCGGTGGTCACGCTAATCGTTTTTAACTGGCCGACAGGTGCCCAGTATTTTCCTCCAATTCTAAGGAAGGATAGGACAGAATAGCAAGAGAAAGTGGTCCAATATTACTCACCACTTTGGATGTCCCTTCGTGGTCTCCAAAATGTTACCAGGGGTCCTTGCTCCCAGAGCTCCCAAGATGGTGGTAGGCTACTTCCAAAACGGCGGCGGGTCACTTCCAAGATGGTGGCAAGCCTCATATTCTCTGACCTGAGGTTCTTGGCCTCACAGGATTCCAAGGAATGGAATCTTGGGCCATGTGGTGAGTGTTATAGCTCTATTAGAAGTTATGGGTCACGGAAGAGAACCTTGGAACACAGTGACTAGTGTTCAGCTCAATTAGGACGAACCCGGGCACTTAGCCGTGCAGGAACAATGGCAAGCCTTTAGCCCGATCGGGAGTGGCAATGGGCGCCTCACTGGATCAGGAGCACAGCAGACACCCTGCCGGATCCGGAGGGATGGGAGTCAGTGGTAGGTCTGCGACGGAGGCAAACAGCAGTGGTGGATGGCGAGCAAAAGCTCAGCTCAAGCCATAACAAACGTGGACCAGAAGAGTGCAGTTGCAAGATTTAATAGAGTGAAATAGTGTGAAAACAGAGCTCCCATACAAAGGGAGGGGACCCAAAGGGGGTTGCCCTAATTTTCTGTTTAATGACATCTATTTTTAATTGAAAAATAAAAATTCTCTCTATATATATGTGATAAATAACATGATGTTTTGATTGACTACATTTAGCTGGTTAATATGTATGTTACCTTATATATTTATCATTTTTTGTAGTGAGAACACTAAAAATCCACTCTCTTAGCAATATTCCAGTGTACAACACATTATTTTTAGCTATAGTCTTCACATTGTATAATAGATCTCTTGAACTTATTTCTCCTATATAACTAAATATTTGTAGCCTTTTACTAAGATCTCCCTAGTCCCCTACCCAACCACCCCAGTCCCCGTTAATGACCAATCTACTCTCTGATTCTATGAGCTCAAATTTCTTAGATTATACATATATATGGGATTATGTGGTAGTTGTCTTCATGTGCCTGGCTTATTTTACTTAACATAATGTCCTCCAGGTTCATCCATGTTGTCACAAATAACATAATTTCCTTTGTTTTTCAGGCTGAATTACTATTCAGTACATTACATTCAGTTCCCTTATGTACATATAAGAAATTTTCTTTGTCCATTCATGCATTCATGGATAGTTAGGTTGTTTCCCTATCTTGGGTGTTGTGAATAATGCTGCAATGTACAGGAGTGCAGGTGTATTTCTTTGACATGCTGATTTTGTTTATTTTGGATATACAGTTGACCCTTGAGTAATGTGGGGGCTGGGGTGTCATTCCCCAGCAGAGTTGAATCTCCATATATAAATGTTGACTCCCCCAAAACTTAACTATTAATAGCCTACTGTTGATAAAAATTATTACCAATAACATAAACAGTTGAATAACAGATATATATTTTTATATATATAAAATACACTATATTTTTATAATACTCTTTATATAAGAAAATGTTATTAAGAAAATTATAAGAAAGATAAAATATATTTACTCTTTATTAAGTGGAAGCCATCCTCATAAAAGTCTTCATCATCTTCAGGTTGAATAGGCTGAGGAAGAAGAGGAGAAGGGGTTGGTTTCAGCGTGTCAGAGTTGGCAGGGCAGAAGGAAATCAGCTTGTAAGTGGATCCATGCAGATGAAATCCATGTTATTCAAGGGTCAACTGCATACCCAGTAGTAAGATCTGTGGAGCATATGGTAGTTCTATTTTCAATGTTTAAAGAACCTCAATATTATTTCCTTTAATAGTTTCACTAATTTACATTTCCATCAACAGTATGCAAGAGTTCCCTTTTGTCCACGTTCTTTATTTTATTTATTTATTTCTATTTTGAGACAGAGTCTCGCTAGCTCCATCACCCAGGCTGGAGCGCAGTGGTGCAATCTCAGCTCACTGCAGCATCGTCCTCCTGAGCTCAAGGATCCTCCCACTTCAGCCTCCTGAATACTTAGGATTGCAGGCATGCACCACCATGCTTGGTTAATTTTTTTTTAATTTTTATATTTTGTAGAGACAGGGGTCTCTCTTTGTTTCTTAAGCTGATGTTGAACTCCTGGTCTCAATTGGTTCTATCACCTCTGCCTCCCAGATTGCTGGCTTTACAGGCATGAGCCACCGTGCCATGCCTCTTTTGTCTTTTTGATAATAGCCATTCTAATAAGAGTAAGGTGATATCTCTCTGGTTTTTATTTGCATTTCCCTGATGATTAGTGCTTTTAAGCATTTTATCATATTCCTGTTGCCCATTTGTATGTCTTCTTTTGAGAAATGTCCATCCAGATTTTTTTTGCCCATTTTTTTAATTGGGTCATTTGTTTTCTTGCAATTCTGTTGTTTAATTTCTAATATATTTTGGGTTTTTAATTTTTTAATTTTTAATTTTAATTTTATTGAGGTAAACTATATATATATAATTTGCCATCTTTACCTTTTTAAGTGTACATTTTAATGGTAATAAATACACTTATATTCCTTTTTTATTTCCTTTTATCCCTTTCCCTTTTCATAGGTGTTATCTTCATTCTGTTGATTATTTCTTTCGCTGTGCAGAATCTTTTACATTTTATGTAATCCTTATTGCCATTTTAACTTTTGTTGTTTGTCTTTGGAAGATCATATTCAAGAAATCATTAACCAGAGTAATGTCATATAGCTTTTTCTGCTATGCTTTCTTCTGGTAGTTTTGTAGTTTCAGGTTTTATGTTTATGTCTTTAGCTCATTTTGAGTTGATTTTTATATGTGATGAGAGATAAGGGTGCTATTTCATTCCTCTACATGTGAATATCCAGTGTTCCCAATGCCATTTACTTAAGAGATTGCCCTTTCCTTCATTGTGGGTCTTGGCAATTTTGTCAAAAATTAATTGACTATAAGTGTATGGATTTATTTCCGGGCTCTCTATTCTGTTCCATTAGTCTGTGTGTCACTACGCTGTTTTGGTTACTATAGCTTTATAGTAAATTTTGAAGTTGGGTAGTGTGTTCCTTTCAGTTCTGTTCTTTTTACTCAAAATTGCTTTGGCTACTGGGAATCTTTTGTAGTTCAAAATGAATGTTATGATAGTTTTTCTCTTTCTGTGTCAAATGTCATTGGAAATTTAACAGGAATTACACTGAATCTGTAGGTCACTCTGGACATGATGAACATTTTAACAATACAATTTTTTTAATCCATGAACATCGGGTATATTTCCATTTGTTTATTTCAATAGGTTTTAGGGGAACAGGTAGTGTTTGGTTATATGGATAAGCTCTTTAGCGGTGATTTCTGAGATTTTTAGTGCACTCATCACCCGAGCAGTGTACACTGTACATGATATGTAGTTTTTTTATTCCTCACTCACCTCCCACTCTTCCCCCTGAGGCCCCAACATCCATTGTATCAATCTTATGCCTTTGCATCCTTATAGCTAAGCTCCTGCTTATTAGTGAGAACATGCAATGTTTGGTTTTCCATTCCTGAGTTCGTTCACTTAGAATAATGGTCTCAAGGCCAGGTGCGGTGGCTCACACCTGTAATTTCAGCACTTTGGGAGACAGAGACAGGTGGATCACTTGAGCTTAGGGGTTTGAGACCAGGCTGGGCAACATGGTGAAACACTGTCTCTACCAAAAATACAAAAATTAGCTGGGCATGGTGGCTCCCACCTGCAGTTCCAGCTACTTGAAGGGCTGAGGGGGAGGATTGCTGAGCCCAGGAGGCTGAGTTTGCAGTGAGCCTGAGATCACACCACTGCATTGAAACCTGGGTGACAAAGTGAGATCCTGTCTCAAAAAAAAAAAAAAAAAAAAAAGAAGATTAATGATCTCCAACTCCATCCAGAGGTTGCTCTGAATGACATTATTTCATTCCTTTTTATGGATGAGAACTATTCCATAGTATGTATGTACCACAGTTTTTTTACTCACTCGTTGATTGATGAGCATTTGGGCTGGTTTTATATTTTTGCAATTGCAAATTGTGCTGCTATAAACATATGTGTGCAAGTGTCTTTTTCATATAATAACTTCTTTTTCTCTGGGTAGATATCTGGTAGTGGGATTGCTGGATCAAATGGTACCTTTACTTTTAGTTTTTTAAGGAATTTCCATTCTGTTTCCCAAGGTAGTTGTACTACTTTACCTTCCCACCAGCAGTGTAAAAGTGTTCCCTTTACACCACCTCCAAACCAATATCTATTATTTTTTAACTATGGCCATTCTTGCAGAAGTAAGATATCACATTGTGGTTTTGATTTGCATTTCCCTGATAGTGATGTTGAGCATTTTTTTCATATGTTTGTTGGCCATTTGTTTATCTTCTTTTGAGAATTGGCTGTTCATGTCCTTAGCCCACTTTTTGATGGGATTGTTTGTTTTTTTCTTGCTGATTTGTTTGAGTTCCTTGTAGATTCTGGATATTAGTCCTTTGTCAGATTCATAGTTTGCAAAGATTTTCTCCCACTCAGTGGGTTGTCTGTTTATTCTGCTGATTATTTCTTTTGCTGTGCAGAAGATTTCAAGTTTAATTAAGTCCTATCTATTCATTTTTGTTTTTGTTTCATTTGCTTTTGGGTTCTTGGTCATGAAGTCTTTGCCTAAAGCAATGTCTAGAAGGGTTTATTCAATGTTATCTTCTAGAAATTTTATGGTTCAGGTCTTAGATTTAAGTCCTTGGTCTGTCTTGAGTTAATTTTTGTATAAGGTGAGAGATGAGAATCCACTTTTATTCTTCTACATGTGGCTTGCCAATAATCCCAGCACCATTTGTTTAACAGGCTGTAAGTATTCAGCTTTATTTCTGGGTTCTCTATTCTGTTCCATTGGTCTATGTGTCTGTGTTTATACCAATACCATGTTGTTTTGGTGACTATAGGCTTATAATATAGTTTGAAGTTGGGAATATTCCTAGATATTGGTATTGTATTATTATTATTATTTTTACATCTACTGTAAAGGGGTTGAGTTCTTGATTTGATTCTCAGCTTGGTTGCTATCAATGTATAGCAGTGTTACTGATTTGTGTACATTGATATTGTATCCTGAAACTTTATTGAATTCATTTATCAGATCTAGGAGCCTTTTGGATTAGTCTTTAGGGTTTTCTAGGTATATGATCATATCCTTGGAAAACAGCAACAGTTTGACTTCCTCTTTACTGATTTGGATACCTTTTATTTTTTCTCTTGTCTGATTGCTCTGGCTAGGATTTCCAGTACTATGTTGAATAGAAGTGATGAAAGTGGGCATCCTTGTCTTGTTCTAGTTCTCAGGGGGGGATGCTTTAAGCTTTTCTCCATTTAGTATAATGTTGGCTGTGTGTTTGTCACAGATGGCTTTAATTTCCTTAAAGTATGTCCCTTCTATGCTGATTTTGCTGAGGGTTTTTATCAAAAAGGTATGTTAGACTTTGTCAAATGCCTTCTCTATATCTATTGAGATGATCATGTGATTTTGTTTTTAACTCTGTTTATGTGGTGTATCACATTTATTGATTTGTGTATGTTACACCACCTGAACATGGGATTTTTTTCATTAATTTTTGCCTTCTTCAATTCATTTTATAATGTTTTCTGTTAATTTTATTGTGCCATAATTATTTTCTGAAAAAATAAAGTAATGGAACAAAAGATCATATATTTGCGATTCCTAAATCAAACATACCCTCAATTAATTTTTTATAATATTTTGACTTGAGAAATTTTACTTTTCAATTTTTGTAATTGTCAGTGATGATGACATTGTTGTTTACTGATTTTCCATTCTATATATATATAGTTAGATTCACTATGCTGTGTGAGACACTGAAATCACTTAATAATAATAAATAAAAAGGCATATGTTAATATATCTTTTTGGTACAGTGACATAAAAAGTAAAAATTGATGAGTATCTGAATATCTGAACTACTTTATTCAGAATTAGCCATTTATTGATATCCCAAATAGTTTATACACAATAGATTTTACCAAAGAAAATGTTTTTGAAAAATAAGTTTTTCCACAAAGTCTTTTATTTCTAGTATTCATTAGTTGGACAAATTATTGTAAAAAATAAAAACTTTTGAAAAATTGGGAGTTTGTAGCATTTTCTTTGACAAGTTTTTTGTGAATATTTTTAGATTTATTTAGAAGGTGTACATGATGGATTAATTTCTTGATAATTTTTGTGCTTGGTGTTTAGATATTTTTTTACGCAAAATTTGTTTTGGATACTTATTCCCATGCACTTTCTTGTTTCTTCATTCACTAAATATTCTTATTGGGTCTAGGTTAAGGGCTGTTTACCATGGATGTGGTTACACAAGATTTTTGAATTTTTTTCTTATAATATTTTGACTTGACAAATTTTAATTCATCTTCAAAAATATATAAAGAATTCCAAAACATATTGTCTTCTTCAAAAGTAAATATGCTAATAATTAAGCGTCTTGAAAATCTTTTTATATATCTATTGACTATTTATATTTCTTCTTTAGAGAAATTTCTATTCAGGTCTTATAGGGATATTAGTTTTCTTGTTATTTAATTGTTTGATATATATTTTGAATATTACTTCTTTGTCACTTATAGATTTGCTAATATTTTCTTTCATTTTATAAGCTGTCCTTTCACTCTGTTGATTTTTTCCTTTGCTGTGCGGAAGCTTTTTAGCTTGATATAGTCCCATTTCTCTATTTTGTCTTTTGTTGCCTGTGCTTTTGGTGTTATATCCATGTAAACGTTGCCAAGACCAATGTCATGCTTTTCCTCCACCTTTTATTCTGGGAGTATTACAGTTTCATGTCTTACATTTAAGTCTTTAATCTATTTTAAGTTTATTTTTGAGTGTGGTATAAGGTAGGCAAGCTCATTTTTTTTTTTTTTTTTTGCATGGGGAAATACTTTTTGGTCAACATCATTTATTGAAGAGACTGTCTATTCCCCTTCATATATTTTTGGTACCCTTGTCAAAAATCAGTTGACCATATATGTAAATTTATTTCTGGCCTCTGTCTTCCATTCAGTTGGTCCATGTGTCAGTTTTTATGCCAGTGCTATACTGTTTTTATTTGTGTAGCTTTGTAATGTATTTTGAAATCAGGAAGTGTAAAGACTTCAGCTTTGTTCCTATTTCTCAGTATTGATTTGGATGTTTATAATCCTTTCTTATTTCATATGGATTTTAAAATTCTTTTTGGGTCTGAGAAAAAAATCTGTTAGAATTTTGAAAGAGATTGCATTGAATCTATAGTTTGCTGTGTATGGTGTAGACACTTTAAGATATTGTCTTTCTACTGATAAACCTAGGATGTCTTTCCACTTGTGTTTTTCTGGCTTTGTTACTTTTATCAATGCTTTATTATTTTCAATAAACAAGAATTTCACCTCCTTACATAAGGTTATTCCTTCATTTTTATACTTTTTGGTACTATTATAAATGAAACTGTTTACCTAACTTTATTTTCAGATAGTGTGTTCTTAGTGTATAGAAACACAACTCATTTTTATGTTAATTTTGTATCTTGCAACTTTACTGAGTTTGTCAATTCTAACAGTTTTTTAAATTGAGTCTTTAGTCTAGTTTTCTATACCTAATAATGTCATTTGCAGGAAGATGTAAATCAAACCACAGTGTTTTGATACCTGTTAGAATGGTTATTATCGAAACAACAAAACACAACAAGTGTTGGCAAGAATGTGGCAACGTTGGAAGCCTTGTGCATTGTAGGTGGAAATGCAAAGTGGTGCAACTGCTATGAAAATCAGTCTGGAGGTTCCTCAAACAAAACTAAAAATAGAAGTACCATATCATCCGGCAGTCCCACTTATGGATATTTATAAAGAATAATTGAAATCACAATCTCAAAGAGACATTAGCAATCTCATGTTTGTTGCAGCCCTATTTACAATAGCTAAAAAAATGGAACCAGTTAAATGCACTTTCACAGATAGATAAATAAATAAATAAAATGTGATATATACATACAATTAAATATTATGCACCCTTAAAAAAGAAATTTTGCAACTCATGACATTATGTATGAACCTTTAGAATGTTATGCTTATGAAATAAGCCAGTCACAGAAAGACAAATACTACATGATTTCACTTATATGAAATATATAATCTAGTAAATTTCATAGATTCAGAGAGTGGAATATTGGTTGCCAAGGACTGGTTTAATGGGAAAATTAAAAGTTGCTAATGAACAGGTATAAAGTTTCAGTTATGAAAGATGAATACATTCTAAGGATCTGCTGCACAATATTGTGCTTATAGCTAATAATAATACATATTCACTTCAAATTTATTGAGAGTAGATCTTACGATAAGTGTTCTACAAAACTAAAAAAAAATAGAAATGCATGTGCTATATATAGTTAAATAAGTAACACCTAATGAGATTATGCTAAATAGAAATAATAATAATTTATACTAAATACTAAATATCCTTATATACAAGTGTTTCTTATAGCTGTGAAATAAAATCCAAGACAGGATTGCTGAATCATATGTTTTAATAGTCATTGCCAGATGGCTTTCTGAAAAGCTTGTTACTATTCTTATTTCCAGTAGGAGTCTATGAGAATTTATTTCCCTCTTTATCTCCCCATATTCATTAGCATCAGAAATTGCCTGAAAGATGGGTAGGCTAGTAGATAAATAATTTTTAATTTTTGCCAAGCAAATGCCGTGAAGTAATATTTTGTGCATTGCTTTGATAACTAATAAAAACAACTTTTTACATATGTATTGATCATTTATATTTGCATACTACTCATTTATCTATGAGTGTGTCTTTTTCTTAATAATTTTTATAAATTTTTGTTATAGAAAATTTAGTTAATAGAAGTACACATGTATTTTCCAAGCTTGCATATGTGGTATAATTTTCCCATTTATTTTCATATTTATATGTAAATAAACTTAATTATAAATGTAGTTCTATATGTTCAGATTTTGGCACAGGTTTATTCTTTTTCTTTCAATTCTATTAAATAGAAATTTTAATCTATTAATAGTAGTGTGTTCTATAACTTATAGCTGATGCTAAACAAAAAATATTTGTAATAAAATAGTATATCTCCTTACTTCTATGAAAATTAGTAGAATAACTGTTACTTATAATCAAAATAGTACTTTTGGTATGGACACTTATTTTTAGTTATGTTACATATTCTTTCATTTTTGTTTATAAAAATTTCTTAACATTATCTTTTATACTACTATTAACATGTTTCAACATATTAACTCTACTTCTTACACATTTTTTAGGCAAGACATTGGGCAAATAAAGTATGAAACCCATAGTCATGAATCTAATATGATTATATAAAAATTAAACTTTATAATTTATAATTTATGGCCAAAAGCTTACTGTGTTTCTCTTGTAAGTTTGGAGGCCGGATAATTCTTTTCTCAGTGAAAGTGCAAATTAATAGAAGGTCATACATAGCTCCTTATACATCTACATACAAAGATACATATTTAGTTAAGCATAATTAATATTGGAGTTATCTAAAATAAAAAATTGAAAATTGTTATATAAATAAAAGGTGTTCAAAATAGATGTAAATGTTCTATGCCAAGGAAGAAATACAAAATAGTAGACTTCTACTGAAAAAGTATGAATTAGGCTTTAAAGAAAAAGCTTATTGAGATATGATAAAGCTATATGAAAAACTAACAAATAAGCCATTAATCAAAAGTCTCATGTTATTCTGAGAAAACAAATACATATATATTTTTAAAAATTGAATGTTATCTAAACTATGGTTTTTAAGAAAGGAATTTATGTAAATTTGTTATGGAAATATCCTCGGACTATGAATTACTATGTATTGCCAATACTGCTTTCAAATATAATTTCCAATCAGATTTTTGACAGTGAATAGTGTCTGTCTGATTTGGCAAGCCATAAAATTATTTAACTTGGGTGAATATGAAAGAATAAAAAATTAGAACTCTGTCTTTTTAAATGTGTGTTAGGTGTTCTGCAAAAGATCAGTTTATATTAATAATTAGGTTGTCCATTACAATGGTGGAAAAACGGAATATTACAAATCTAGGTTAGTGGTTGTTTTCATGGTCTCTAATAGAAATATGAAACAACTTCTACATACTTACCTCTCAGCCTCACCTATGGGCATCAGCCCTTGAATGATCTCTAGAATGTCCTCATCTGTCAGCTATAGCTGTCAAACAAGAAAACCAATATGTGTCATACTGAAGGTATAATGCATTCACAGATGTAAGTGACCAGGATATTGGAACAGAAAGAGTAATGAGAAAAAAATTTATGGCCACCACCTTTTGCTTAGGGAACCGTACATTTTATACCCCTTCAGTGAAGATTTTATTCTCAATCTGCACTAAAGACAAAGAAAAAAAGTAGAATAAGAATTAGGCTTCACAAGGTGAAAATAGTTCATGTCAGCAATTCTTCCACTACATTCAGCATTAAGTATTAGTCAAGCTTTTATAAAGAATGGTAAGTGGCAGCATATTTGTTCTTTCTATCTCAAATTCATTCAACTTGAAAGCATTGCTCATGCAGGATGACAGGATGACAGACTTCTTAGATAATGAGAAAGAAAAAAACTCTAATAAATCTGCATTTGACTAAGACCTTTTGGCATCATCTCACATGGTATTCTCATCAACATTCTTGATAAATTGTAGAATGTGTACAGGAGAATCACACCCAAATGGTAATAGTCAATGACCCTGTCAAGCTCAGGCAATATATTTAAAAGGTATCAAAATAGTTGAACCAAGAGAAGTTGTTTATATATTTTCCTAGAAGTCTAATAGCAAAAAAAGAAAAAAGTCAGACTGCTCATTAAATTAGCAGATGACATCACACCAGGTAAAGCTGTTAAGAAATCAACAATAGATTTTTGAATAGATTTTTGAAGATTGTGATGAATTAGATAAATTTCATCATAACTTCATGAAAATATGTTTAACTATAGAACGAAATACTATAATCACATAACTGAGCCCATAATGGTAGAAATTGTTTAGTTTAAATGCTCCAAAACAATAGGAAACAATTGATAATTTACCTACTTTCTTCTCCATAAAATAGCAATGCATACACAATAAAAATGGGAAACTAATCAATTCTGCAATTTTGAAACTTCACATACTCAAAAATCTAAGATAAATTTCTATAACTTGGGATTGAGTTGTGATTAGTAGCATACTTGTACTTTTATAACTGAAAAAGAATAAGATTGTTTTAGATAAATAACAGCTGGAAGAATATTGTTTCACTGAGTGTTGCAGGGTGTGGAGAAAGTGTCTATACCATTAGAAATTTCTATCTGTGGCAGGTAGCTTCTAAAATGCTCATCCAATAATTTCTGGCTACTGGTATTCACAACTTTGTGTAATCTTGTCCTTTTGAATATAAGCTAAATTTCTTGACTTTCTTCTAATGAGTAGAATATGACAGGAGTATTGGAATGTTACTACTAAGAGTAGGTTACAAAAGGCTGCAGTCTGTCTTGATTGTGCTTGCTGTCTCAGTCTGTCTCGTATTACTGACCTTGTGTGTGTGATACCAGCCACCATGTTGTTAGATTGCACTGAGGAGAGGAGACATGGCAAAGAACAAAGGTTCAGCAACAACTATGTGAATAAGCTTGGATATTTATCCTTCTACAATCAAGCCTTCAGGTAAAATTGCAACCCCAACTGGTAAGTTAACTTCTACTTTTTGGTAGTCCTTGAATCAGAGATGTGCAGTTAAATGAGTTCTGCATTCCTGAACAACAAAAACTGTTAGATAATAAATATTTGTTGTTAAAGCCCTAGGGTTGTTTTTAGGTATTTGTAATATATCAGTAGATAACAAATATACATTTTGTTACTATTAAGTAGTAGTCTAAAACGTGGGCATGGCTTTAGAATGAAGGAGTGAGTACGAGCTGGAAGAACTTTCAGGGAATCATTAGTGAAAGCCTTCATTCACCTGAACAGACCGTCAGTAGCATCTAAGAATTTGAGGACATGGCAGTTTATGGTTTATATGAATATGAGAAAAATCTTATTGCAAACTGTATTATGGGAAATGATTATTATTTAGTGGTTGGAAATTTAGCCACACTGCTGCTTGCAGATAAGTGAAAAATAGGAGATACTTGATGAATTGAGAGATCAATTTAAAAAGATATATAATATTATAAATAAAAAAGGTAATATTTATTTCCTATTAATTACATATTGCATTAAGGTAGAATGGAGAATGGGTAGAATTTGGTCAAAATTCAGTGATAAAGTGAAAGAAAATCTCAAAATATTCAAGACATAAATATCAAAGAAACTTAATTGTAAAGTAAACGTATTGTAAATGAGACTTATTAAATTATGAGATAGAAATCACACTAAATTGATACCAAAAACCAAATGATTTATGAAAATATAAAAATCAATTTTGTCGTTAAACCCACTAAAAAATGAAAGCACCACAAGATAATCTATAGGCTTTCAGATAAAAAGCTGTTTATGTTAAGATAAAAAGTTTATATTGAGTCACGTTTCTATTCATGTTAAAGACAATCAAAATATATGCTAACATATTTAGAATCTCAAATTATAAATATAAACATGTACAAATACAATGGCATAAATCTGACAATAATATATAGTGAAAATATGTATAGTTATTGAGTGAAATACCAACATAGTTAAAACAACTAAACGGTGAATAAATCTGAAGTTAAATATAAGGATGTCCTCTTAGATATAGGACCACAAATTTCAAATGAGATAAATAGAATAAATGAAGCTTCCCCAAAATATCCAGAAGACAAAGTCTTCTTCTTTAAAGTAGTATTAAATATATAAATATATTATTAATTTTTTTGTAGACAAGACCGACTATCAGGGAGGGTGAAGGATTATCCAAAAATTAAATCCCTTTTTAAATGTATGTTGAGACAAAATAATTGGTTCAGTTATGATATTGATAACTATGGAAACAGGCTAAAATATATTAAGTTAATAGATGCTAGAAATAAAGTATAATTTCAAAATCATTGAAAGAAAAAACCCATCAATGTAAACTACAGTCCATAAGCACGCTGCTGATGTGAAACAAGGTGGAGCTCAGGTGGTAATGCCAGCGATAGGGAGCAGCTGTAAATACAGATGAAGTTTTGCTTGCTTGCCCACTGCTCACCTCCTGTTGTATGGCCTAGTTCCTAACAGGCTATGGACTAGTACCCGTCTGTGGCCTGGGTCCCGGGTTGGGAACCCCTGTTCTAAGTAACAAAGTTTTAATGTGCCAGGAAAAAGGATGCAAAAAACCTGAGACTGAGGACACTGGTGAATAAACCCCAGCAGCAAGGAAAAAATCAGGAGGAGGGGAAAGGTGATGCAACACTGAAGTAGGAGAATAAATTTTTTTGAAAGGCATGCTGTTGAAACCCAGATTGCAATACAGGCCACAGTGCAAAGCTAAGAACATCAGAGAACCAAACTCTCTACCGACTCCTTTTAATGATACTAAAAAGCTTTGAGTAGAATTAGTGGAGAATACAGGAAAGAGTGATTCAAGGGACTGATTCTCATTGGGAAGGAACAGTAAGGAAGGACATAGACCCCAAACTGAGACTAAAACAGTGCTTTACTAAAGAAATTTGAATCCTTTGGTGCTCATCCTAGCAATAAACTTCACCTCTAGTAACCATAGCAACAATAAAATTTAAACATATCAAAAGTAACAAAATAACAAAAATTATTACACTAAAAGCCAAGAATGAAATATCTCATGTTCTTCCCCCTATCAACAGAGATAGAAACTTTAAGAAATAATTTATTGGAATTTTAAAATAAAAATCAAACTAATGTAAACGAAAAATATGTCTATGGGTTCATTAGTAGACTTGCCACAGTCAGGGAAAAGTGAGTGAGCTTGATGACAAATCAATAGAAATTACCCAATCTAAAAGGCAAAGAAAAAAAGAATGGAAAATAAACTATGTTAAAATATAACAGTACATCCAAAATACGTATGAAAATATCAAAAATTGCAGCATATATGTGGTTGAAATTTTACAAAGGGAATACAAAGAGAATGGTGCAAGAGACATATGTGAGGAAATAATAGTGGATAACTTCAAATATTCATGGCAGAGAAGAAACCACTACTCCAGAAAGCTCAGAAAACACAATGTAGGATAAAGTGTATCCCCTCCAACATATACATGCATGCACACACACACACAAACACAACCCTAGGCATATCATATCTAAACTACTGAGATCAAGGTTAAAAGAAAATTTTAAAGGCCACAGAGAAAAAACACAACACAACAAAACCAAACCAAAACATCTCACCTATAGAAGAGAAACAAGGATTAGAATTAAAGCCAAATTCTCATTAAAAACAGTATAAGCAAGAACACAGTGAAGTGACATGTTTAAAGTATTAAAGGAAGAAACTACACTATGCCAACTTCAAATTCCATATTCAGTGAAAATATCCTGCAAAAGTATAAGAAAAATGAAGACTTTCCTATGCAAAAAATTGATGAAATTAATTGTTAGGATATATGTGCTGCAAATAATAAAACATTCTTAAAGCAGAATAAATATTTTACAGGTCAGAATCTGGAAAGGAAAGAAATGAACAAAATCAGAAATTGAATAAATTAAGGGAATATTCTTACTTTACATTCTTTAAAAGAAAACAGGATGTTGGAAGCAACAGTAATAAATATGTTTTGGGTATTTATAGTGTATGTAAAAATAAACATGACATTAGAGATTGGAGGAAAGAATGGTGACTAATCTGTCATAAGGGCCTTATAATACACATGAAACAAACAAATATTAACTTTGATGACTTTATAAACACTATTATAACATCAAGTTTTAAAAACTTTTAAAAATGCACCTATCACAATTAAATATATGAGAGCAGTAGAAACTTAAACAAAATCAATTAAAATAAGAGAAGGCAGAAAAGACTAATAAGAAAAGAAAATAGTGATATGGAAGATTATAATCTAACCATATTTATGATCATTATAAACATGAACAAGATAAACATGCCATTTAAAAGAGATTTGTCAACATTCAAATATCAGTCAATGCAATTCACCATTTTAGAAATTTAAGAAAAAAAATGGCTGTATTAAGATGTGAAGGAAAAAAAGACAAAATTCAATGTCTATAATAAAAACCTCAACAAACTAGGAATAAAAGAGAACTTCTTTAATTCTATCAAAGTTTATTGATGAAAAACCTACAACTAACATCATGCTTAATGGTAAAATTCTGTGTTTTCTTCCCTAAGACTAGGAGGAACAAGACAAAGATGGGATTATCTCTATCATTCCTATTCAGCATCACACTGGAAGTACTAGTTAATGCAGTAAGGCAAGAAACAGAAATAAAAGATATACACACACACTGCAAAGGAATAAATAAAACTGTCTTTATTTGTAGCAATGTAGAATCTATGGAGAATATAAAAAATAACTAAGGAAAAACAAAAACTAAAATCAATAAGTGACTTTACTTTGTCTCAGCCCACAAGGTCAACATATAAAAGTAAATTACGGCTGGTTGTGGTGGCTCACGCCTGTAATCCCAGCACTTTGGGAGGCTGAGGCAAGCAGATCACTTGCGGTCAGGAGTTGGAGACCAGCCTGGCCAATATGGTGAAGCCCTGTCTCTACTAAAAATACAAAAATCAGCCAGGTGTGGTGGCACACACCTGTAGTCCCAGCTACTCAGGAAGCTGAGACAGGAGAATCACTTGAACCCAGGAGGCAGAGGTTGCAGTGAGCCAAGATTGTGCCATTGTACTCTAGCCTGAGCATTGCTGTGAGATTCTGTCTCAAAAAAAAAAACAAGTAATAGAAGGCTAATATTATTAGACTGTCAGTCAATCCTAATTTTATGTATAGATTTACCTATCAAAATTATCTTTAACTTTCCTGTAGTATCTACAAACTAATTCTAAAGTGTATATAGATGGCCAAAATAAGTAGAATAAAAATTTCTGATGAACAAAAACAGAGTTAGATAATTCAAAATTTCCAGTTTTAATACTTACGATAATGCTAAAGTAATCAAGGTTGTATGGCATTGCAAAAGTATATACAGGCAGATCAATGAAACAAAGTACTGAACCCATCAGTAAATCCACACGAATATAAATAACTTACTTTTGACAAAGATGTAAAGGCAATTCAATGGAAAAAGGTTAATCTTTTTTAAAAAATGTGCTACAAAATAGGATATCCATACGTGGAAAAATAATTGAACCTCAATGCATACTACATACCACATATAAAAAGTATAATTGTGTAACATGATTTGTATTAAAATATAACTCAAATTTAAAATTCAAAATTATAAAATTTCTAGAAGAAAATATAGTATAAAATAATGTCAATCTTAGTTTACTACTAAAGATTTAGACCTAAAACAATAAGCATAAGTTAAGAAAAGAAAATATTATAAATTAAACTTGATTAAATTAAAAACTTTATTTTGTGAATAATAGTGTTAGGAAAATGAAAAGACAAGTCACAGACTGGAACAAAATATTTGCAAATTCTATATCAGATTAATAACTTGTATACAAAATACTAAAATAACATTTTACATTCAATAATAAGAACCAACAACCCAATGAGGACATAGTAAAGGAAATGCCACTCCAACAAAGAGTTTACAAATTACAAAAACACACATTAAAATATCCTCAATATTCATCATCATTATTGTGAAATCATAGTGCAACACCCCTATATACCTATCAGAGGTCTAAATCCTGGGCCAGGCACAGTGGCTCACACCTGTAATCTCAGAACTTTGGAAGGCCAAGGCAGGCGAATCACCTGAGGTCAGGAGTTTGAGACCAGCCTGGTCATTATGGTGAAACCCCATCTCTACTAAAAATACAAAAATTAGCTGGACATAGTGGCAGGCGCCTGTAATTCCAGCTACTCGGGAGGCTGAGGCAGAAGAATTGCTTGAACCCAGGAGGTGGAGGTTGCAGTGAGCCGAGATCATGCCACAGCACCCCAGCCTAGGTGACAGAATAAGACTCCAAAAAAAAAAAAAAAAAAAAGAAAGAAAAGTCTAAACCCCCCAAATTTGATGACACCCTTTGGTGAAAATTCAGAGTAACAGGCAGTCTCATTTGTTGCTTTGGAATTGAAAAATGATAAAGCCCCTTTGGAGGAAAATTTGGCAATTTCTCATGAAGTTAAACACAGACCTAGCAATTCCATTTACTGGCATTTGTTCAAGTGAACTGAAAACATATGTTCTCATTAAAAACTTGCTTTTAAATATTTATAGCAGCTTAATTCATAGGTGTCAAAACCTGAAAGCGACCAAGATGTTTTTAAACAAGTGAATGAATAAACAAACTGTTTTACACCCATGCAATAGACTGCTATTTAGTGATATGAAAAGAACAAGCAGCTAATTCATACAGCATGGATAAATTTAATTATTTTACTCAAGTCAATAAGCCAGTTTGAAAGTTAATAGATTATAAGATTCCATTTATTGAAATTATGAAAAGGGGACCTACAGGGATATAAAAATCTTAATGTGTACTATTTAATGGAGTGAACAGAGAGATGAGAAGTTCAATCTGAAAAGGACAAAATCACCCAGAAATAAATACACAGTCATCTGGTCAATTTTCCACAGGGTGGTCAATGTAATTCAATTGAGAAATGACAATTTTTTCAACAAGTGATAATGAAATATTTGTATGTCATATGGGGTAAAAGAATCTTATATCTTACCTTACACATGACAGAAAAAAATTAACTTGAAATGTATCATAGAAATAAACATAAAAGCTAAAACCTCAAACTTTCAGAAGAAACTATATGAAAAAATATTTATCACATAATTATGCAGCTATATCTTAAATAATACTCAAGAATCAATGAATCATTAAAGAAAGAATTGGTAAAATTTACTTCAAAAAATTTAAAAAATTTTTGAAATACATTCTTAAAAAAATGAAAGACTAGGATGCCCACACTTGAAAAAATATGTGTAAACCTCATATTTGACAATTGGCTTGTATGGAAAGTTTTTTATTATTCATAAATCAATAAGATTAAAAACAGAAAAATTCCTTTAAAAAAACCAGATTATTTGTAAGGCATTAATTCTCTAAATTTTGTTCTCTCTATATTCCAAACTCAGCCACTTTGAATAGAAAGCTGAGTGTGCTAGGACACTTCAAATTGTAGAGGAACTCAATTACTATTTGTGTATTTTCATGAACATTACCAAGAAGCCTATCTGAAGCAACAGAGAATGGTGCCAGCAACTGCACCTCCCATGCACACCAGTCAACCCCTCTCAATGCCTTTCCCAATCTTATTTTCAATCTTTACTTGAGGCAGAGGAATATAATCTGGTTTACAACTAGGACACACTGAATTGACTGCCCTTAAGCAACAACTCCAGGAAGGAAGAACTACAGTTAATTATTTGAACTAGACTGTGAACCATAAGGTCAACACATCAGCTGGTATTATTGGCTGTAGGTCCTATTTCAGACTCCAAAAATTGCAGACAGGTTCTTTCCAAAGATATTTGGCAGATTGTATTAGTCTGTTCTCACATTGCTATAAAGAATTACCTGAGACTGGGTAATTTATGAAGAAAAGAGGTTTAATTAATGCATAGTTTCACAGGCTGTACAGGAAGCATGGCAGGGGAAGCCTCAGGAAACATATAATCATGGTGGAAGGTGAAGGGGAAGCAGGCACATTTTCACATGGCAGAACAATAGACAGGGAGTAAATGGGGAAGTGCTACACACTTTTAAACAACCACATGTTGTGGGACCTCACTCACTAGCATGAAGGCAGCAAGGGGAACACTTGCCATTTGCCCTCATGACACAATTACCTCCCACTAGGCTCCTCCTCCAACATTGAGGATTATAAGTCAAAATCAGACTTTAGTGGGGACACAGAGCGAAACCATATTATTCCACCTCTCACCCCTCCCAAATTTCATGTCCTTTTCACATTTCAAAACAAAATCATGCCTTTCTAACAGTCCCCCAGAGTTTTAACTCATTCCAATATTAATTCATAAGGGCAAGTCCAAAGTCTCATCTGAGACAAGGCATGTTTGTTTCACCTATGAGCACTGAAAATAAAAAACAAGTTAGTTACTTCCAAGATACAGTGGTGGTACAGGCATCGAGTAAATGTCCTCATTCCAAAAGGGAGAAACTGGCCAAAACAAAGGGGCTACAGGCCTCGTGCAAATCCAAAACCCAGCATGGCAGTCATTACGTCTTACAGCTCCAAAATAATATCCTTTGAATTCCTGTCTTACATCCAGACCACACTAATGCAAGGTGTGGGCTGCCAAGGCCTTGGATAGCTCTGCTCTTGTGGCTCTGCATGGTACAGCCCCCTCAGCTGCTTTCACAGGCTGTCATTGAGTGACTATGGCTTTTTCAAGTGCATAATGCAAGCTGTTGATGGAGCTACCATTCTGGGGTCTGAAGGACTGTGGCCCTCTTCTTACAGCTGCAGTAGGCAGTACCCCAGTGGAGACTCTGTCTGGGGGCCCAGCCCCACGTTTCCCCTCTTCACTACCCTAGTTGAGTTTCTCCATGAGGGCTCCACCCCTGCAGCAGACTTCTTCCTGGATATCTAGGTGTTTCCATACATCCTCTGAAATATAGAAGGAGGATCCCAATCCTCAACTCTTATTCTTTGCACACCTTCAGGCTTAACACCATGTGGAAGCTTCCAAGGCTTGTGGCTTGCACCTTCTGGAGCAGCAGCCTGTGATATGTCTGGGGCTCTTGTAGCCACAGGTGGAGCTAGAGCAGTTCAGACATAGAGACCAGTGCCCTGAGGTTGGGCAGGGCAGCATGACCCTGGGTCTGGCCCAGGAAACCATTTTTCCCTCCTAGTCCTCAGGACCTGTAATGGGAGGGGCTGCCAGGATGGTCTCTAAAATGCCTTCTAGGCATTGCTTATATTGTCTTGGCTGTTGACATTGAGCTCCTCTTTACTTTTGCATATTTATGCAGCCAGTTTGAATTCCTCCCCTAAACAGGGATATTTCTTTACTACCACATGGCCAGGTTGCAAATTTCAAAACTTTCACTCTCTGCTTCCCTTTTAAATATAACTTTCAGTTTCAGATCATCTCTTTGCTCACAAATATAAGCATATATTGTTAGAAGCAGCCAGACCCCTTCTTGATCACTTTGCTGCTTAGAAATTTATTTCACCAGATACCCTAAATCATCTCTCTCAAGTAAAAAGTTCCACAGATCTCTAGGACAGGTGTACAGTGATGCCAGTCTCTTTGCTAATGCATAGAAAAAGTGACCCTTATTCCACTTCCCAGTAGGTTCCTCATCTCCATCTCAGACCAGACCACCTCAGCCTGGACTTCCTTATCCATATCACTATCAGCATTCTGGTCACAACAACTTAACATGTCTCTAGGAAGCTCCAAGCTTTCCCACATCTTCCTGTCTTCTTCTGATCCCTCCAAACTGTTCCAACCTCTGCCTGTTACCCAGTTCCAAAGCTACTTCCACATTTTGTAATCTTTATAGAAATGCCCAATGCCAGTACCAATTTTCTATATTAGTTCGTTCTTGCACTGCTATAAATAACTACCTGAGAGTGGGTAATTTATAAAGAAAAGAGGTATAATTGATGTACAGTTCTGCAGGCTATGCAGGAGGCATAGCTGGGGTGGCCTCAGGAAACTTACAAGCATGGTGGAAGGTGAATGGGAAGCAGACATATCTGCACATGGTGGATCAGGAGAGAGAGAGTGGAGGGGGAAGTGCTACACACTTTTAAACAACCAGATCTCATGATAACTCGTTCACTATCATGGGAACAGCAAGGGGGAAGTCTTGCCCCGTGAGCCAATCACCTCCCTCTAGGCTCTTCCTCCAACACTGAGGATTACAACTTGACATGTGATTTGGGTGGGGACACTAACCCATATCACACATCTTTAGGATTGTACCTCTTTCTTGGAATTTATAATTTTACTTGTATTTCTCTCCCAAACAGGGTTACTTATACTTAAGGGGTCACCATAAGTGACATGAATGTGTTTAAAGAAAACCACCTCACCCTGGAAAGCACTAAGATCAGACTTAATTCACTGAACCAAGTAGTTATGTATAATGGAAGTGCCCTACACTTATTCTAGGGGCCAAGTTGAAGTCTGTGTAATCACTACCATATAATGCTGTACCTGGATTATTGACTTGGGCAAAATGGAAAATTACATACAGAAACTTAAGGAGAAACCACCCAGCCTTCTAAGGTTTATTTTGATTGTTTATGGACATTTTGTCCTCTCCTCTTGGACTTCAAGAGGCATGGTTAACTGGAATTTGGGCCCATTCTGTTAATTTAAACCTGTTGATAGTAGATTTTATTAAATGGTGCAAAACACAAAGGTTTCTAACTAAGAATATGTTGCTAAGCTTAATCATAATGGTTGATGAGTACATATAAGTAGAAAAAATTATTCAAAGTCAACTCCATACAGAAACAAGCATTAAGTATAACAAGAAACTATTCTCAGGTCCATTTATGCATGTTTTCTAAGCAAAGGCATGGATGATATTTTTATTCTATACCATCTTTTAAATAATATTTGTATAGCAAACAGCTCTGAACAATAAAGATAATACCTCTCTCTAGGGAAGAGAGATGATTTGTTTGCTCTCTAGCATAATAAAGATAATATCTCCATCTGTGGCAAAGGTTGGCAACAGTTTACTAGTAAATCCTTTAAAAGTCTGAGGTTTCCTAAGTTCAAGGGTTTGTCATAGTAAATTTGGGCTGCTATAACAAATATGTCATATACTGTGTGGCTTAAACAGCAAATATTTATTGCTCAGGTTTCCAGAGGCTTGGAAGTATGAGATTAAGGTGCCAGTAGATCTAGTGTCCAGTGAGGGCCCACTTTCTGGTTTGCAGATAGCTGTCTTTTTCTTATACCCTCACATGACGGAGAGCAAAGAGAGAGAAAGTAAGTTCTCTTTAGTCTTTTAATAAAGGCACTACTCCCACTCATAAGAGCTCTACTTTTGTGACCTAATTACATCCCAAAGTCCCCATCTCTTAATACGATCATATTGGGGGTTAGATTTTTAATATGTAAATTTTGAGGGGACAGAAACATACTGTCCATAGCAGAGATTCTCTCCTGTAATACAACCCACTGTTTGTGCTAAGCATCAGCTAACCTCTTTCCATTTGGAAATTTTGGCTTAAGGAACCAACACGATGTTACTCTGGCTATTGCTATTGCTGTGAGTGATGAATGATTCTTTTTCTCTGAACAATGACTTTCACATTTACTACCAACATCCAATAACCCTGTGCTTTTGCAATCAGGATAAAATCTCAGACCCTGGACTCTTCTTGGCACAAAAGTGTATGCATTAGTCAAAGTACAGTACATTTAATTGCATGCAGATAATGCAATGGAAACAAAAACTTGAGTTTTAGTGAATTATATGCAGAATGAAGTATTTAGTGAAAATATATATGTGATTTACTTTTAAATGCAGAAAACTAAGTTACATTGATGGATACGTGAAAGGAAGAATAGATACATATGGGCTAAAACAAGTGCAGTAATACAATAGTAATAGATTCTAGGTTGTTACCAAATGTTCACTGTAAAATATTTCCACTTTGGTTTTTGATAATATTCCTAATAAAATAATGTGAAAAATAATTATAAGGTTATGTATTCTAGTATATTGCTAAGATTGTGTAAATTTTTAGGACAGTAGCTCAACAGTATCTATCAGAAGTATTTAAAACATATACTTAAGAATGTGTTTTGAATCATTTATTATGATTTTAGAAGATATACTATGATAAATTCTTCAAGATGTTTTTGTATTCATATCAATTAGCATATATTATAATTTTCACCTCACTTTTGAAAGTAGGAATTTGGCTTACACAGCTGTGTTGCTCCCTCTGAGTGAGGGAGTGGGAAATGGGAACTACATTTGACTTGGTTAGAAACGTAGTAACTGAGATGGCTGTATGGCTAATTCCTGTGGAACATAATGAAGAGTATTTTTTTTGAAATTTAATTCTCATCTCAAATTTGATTTATGATACAAATTGTCTGTGTGTGCCCACACAAATCTCATCCTGAATTGTAATCCCCATAATCTCTACGTTTCAAGAGAGGGACCTGGTGGGAGGTGACTGGATCCTGGGGGCGGTTTCCCCTGTGCTGTTCTCATGATAGTGAGTGAGTTCTTATGAGATTTGATGGGTTTATAAAAGTCCGCCATTTCCCCTGTTGGCACTCTTTCTCTCTCCTGCTGCCCTGTGAAGAGGTGCCTTCTGCCATGATTGTAAGTTTCCTGAGGACTCCCCAGCCATGCGAATCTGTAAGTCAATTAAACCTATTTTCTTTATAAATTACCTAGTCTTGGGCAGTTCTTTATAGCAGTGTGAAAAATGGACTAATACAATATACTTCTAAGGTGTTATTATTAAGCTTATTTCATGAATAATGAACCTGAAGGTAGAATTCCACTTTGAATATTAAGTTCATTCAATGTATTTTTAAATTATCTGTAGAAAATATTGTATTCCCTTTAAGGAAATTTTCAAGATTAGTAAAGGAATCAAGAAAATTATTACATTAGTCTGGAGGAAAGATCAATGTGTACATGTCTAAACAGTAACATTCCAGCTAAAAACTGTAAGACTGTGCTTATTAAATATGTTGTTATATTCTCAATGGTTCTATTCAGACTGTTAAAAGGAATAATAAGTATTCTTAACTGCTCTGAAAACCTCATGAACACTTATTCCCTTCTAGAAAAGATTATTTTTATTGAATCTTATGTGCACATTTTTTTCTAGCGTAAAACTCTTTTTCTGCATTGTAATCCCTATGTATACAATTTCATAAGTTATTTCCTTCAGTGTATGTATACTGATGGACCTGGGAGATTTAACTTCTCTTCTCTTGGACTATTGTCTGGCAGTGCCAGATTGCCTCATTGGCACTAAGAAAAATCTTACTCTCCATGTAATATACTAATAGCCAAGCCAGTTTAAGATGTATAGAGGCACCGAATTCCAACAAACATATTTTCTTTTAAATTTATAACTCTCTGAGGCTATTTTTTCATTGCTAGTAGGATAGATCTTCTTATCTGCAGTTGTTCATCCTATATGAGCAGTACTTTCAAGGTGAATTGATTTCAGTCTGTGAAAACAAATACAGTGCTCCAAGACATGCTTTATTAATGCTGCCTAGTGTGCTGCCACAGTCTTAAGAACCTGGTTATGAGTAAAATGAAATGTGATGAGTGAAAACACTTTTCTACCATTAAATGGCCCAACAAGAAGACACATTCAAAAATGTGAAGGCCTGAAAACTTATAATTTATTAAAATAAATGATTAAGGTTGAAACATAGTTATGTAAAACTAACGATTGGTAGTCAAGCTAAATAACAATGCACCAAACAAAAGTAATGCTATGTGCACATTATTGAACAGTCTCAATAAAAATTAAGCAGAAAATAGATTTTTTAAAGGAATTAAAATCAAAGCAATGAAATAGCACTAGTCCAATAATTTATCCAGTGTTATACACAAGTATATACATTAAAATTGATTTAAAATTATGTTTTTAATTAAGTTGAAAATGAAATGTATCCTCATGAGCCATAAGAACTGCATTTAATAATTCAGTATTTACTAAAAAAAAACTCTGCAGATAGAATTGGGAGAAACAGATACATTGAATTAATTCAGTTCATTAAATCATAGAGGGGACATAAAACTGACATTTTGAAAAATATTATATATATATATAACTATGTCCCAAGTCATATTAATGAAATAATCACACAACACATATGTTTTAATTGCCATTTGAATTTTTTTCATATGGATAATTATCAAATGCTAGGAATGAAAAGGAGAATGAATGCTGAGTCATCTATAAGAGACATTACAAAGAAACATAAACAAATTTATCCAAATTTAAAATTTGGATAAATGGACATTTTCTTAGAAAAATGTAACTTAAACGGAGCATAAAGCAGATACCTGTCGTGCATTTGAAACTCTTCTGTGTCCTGTACTCCCTCATTTAAGGAAAGCATATTTTACTCTTCATGAAAGCTTATTTGTCTCCATTTCACAAAGTTTGGTCAGTCACAAAAGTTTCTCAACATTTTCTTTTTCTGGCATCCAATTCCATTGCTCTGTTCCTCCAAAACTACGGACACCTATCATGCACTGTGCATTTTTTGCTTAAAATCATAGTTCTTGACACACAGGTGCAGTGCTAGTCAAACTTCACTACTTTATAGCACTCCAGCAATTATCTCCAAATAAATTATCTCTCATGGCTTCCTTATATTCACTACTTTTATCCCCTTCATGTGTATTTTAAACGAAGGTTCAAGACGAAGAGATATACACTGTTCATAGAATGTGCATTTATTCTTCTATACTTCCACATCACCTTGAAATTAGTTTGCCACAAAAAGTCTGCTGAAATGTGTGGCACGTGAGAGAGACACAAAAAACAAATGGTAGCTGTGGTAATTCACTGAAAGCTTGCCCCCAAATTCTGTATTTCATTCTTAAAAATGCATAATATAAGCTGCACAAGGCAGGAGAATCACTTGTTTTGAGGAGTTCGAGTTCAAGACTGGTCTGGACAACATTATATATATATTTTTTAAGCATTATGTGGTATCTTTAATGATATGTTTTTGTAAGAAATACTTAAAATGTGTTGTAGTGGCCTAACCATCAGATGATGATAGAAAAAACAATGAATTCCTTCAGCTAGAAGGCAGATTTTTAATTTTATGCACTGGCAATATGGTAAAATGGTTATTACCAACATGGTAATAACTTGGGAGGCAGATGCCACACATAATAAGCAATTCTAGGAGCAAAGATTCTTCGAGCCTATTGACTGGTAATGGTTGTGTGTGTCAAAAACTTAGCAGTCTTTAAACAAATATGAAAGAGAAAATTTTAAAAATCAGATTACTTGAAGAATTATAAAAGCTGATTCCTCTAGAATCCAAGCAGCAAGTATGCAGGAAAATGCTTATTCAATTCTTATATCATTCCCTTATCAATTCTGTATTTCTTTTGCATCATCCAAAGGCCAATAGAAAAATAATTGTACTGTTAAAGTGAATTAATATTGCTAAATCTTCCCTGGTGACAGAAAGAACTAGTGGATCTACGCTACCAGTGTGATGCTATCACTGGTTTCAAACACAATAAGAGAGGGTTAAATGACAGTGAACAGCGATAATGAGCAAGTCCTTTATTGAAACATTTATTAAACAATTTCAATCCCAGAGTTACAAGAGAGTATTAAAAATTTGCAATAAATCGTATCATCTGGCGTGATATAAAACTGTCTCTGTAAATATGTATAAATGAGGTATTTATTATATTTTACAAGCCTTCTTTAGCAAAGTACAGGCATTGTTTTATTTTATATTAACAATATTTAATATGAAATATTAAATTTAATTTAAATTCGAGGCATTTGTTCAAAAGTATTTACAACTTTAAGTAATGCATTTAAAAAAACAGAAGTTACACAACAAAAAATGTGTTTTCTATTTTTTCTACTAATTTTAAGTTAAATTTATAGAAACAGCAATGTTACCATTACCAGATATTTTTAAAGCAAATTCCAATTCTTTCTGATACTTATCATATCAAATACTTAAAAAAATGCAAACCTTAGTGGGAATTCAAAACTTTTTTTTTAACATATGACACAGAATAAGCATTATGAACAGCTTTGCATATAACAAAGGCGGTTCTCAGGGATTTAATTAACTTTTTAATTAAAAGATTTAAACACATTCTTTAATGTGAAATAACACATTGTAAATTTATTTTGTCATTCTCATTATGAAAATATACAAACAACTTGTACTATACAGTGATAACAAAACAAAGAGTAGTTAAGCAGAGATTTTTTTAAGTATAATGAAACCAGGTGAAGAAAGCAATGGTTCTCAATGTTTTTGTTGTATTGTACACAGGCATAATGCTGATTTAGATTTTCAGTTCTAGTATTCATTAAATTTTAACAAATTCAACATGTTAGCCTAGAGATTGCCATGAATTTGATAGTTTATCAACTTAAATTTGGGAATTAATAAAACCTATTAAAATTAATGAAATTGGTGATTATAAAAATATTTTACTTCAACATGTAATATATATTTAAATGTCTTGAAAAATTATTTAAAATAGCTATATTATAAAAACAGAAAACAAGTAAAATTTTTTCTTTTTTTTTTTTTTTTTTGAGACAGTCTCACCCTGTCACCCAGGCTGGCATGCAGTGGCGCGATGTCAGCTCACTGCAACTTCCACCTCCCGGGTTCAAGTGATACTCCTGCCTCAGCCTCCTGAGTAGCTGGGACTACAGGTGCGTGCCACCATGCCCGGCTAATTTTTTTTGAATTTTTAGTAGAGACGGGGTTTCACTGTGTTAGCCAGGATGATCTCGATCTCCTGATCTCATGATCCTCCCATCTCAGCCTCCCTAAATGCTGGGATTACAGGTGTGAGCCACCACACCAGGCCCAAATAAATTTTTAAATAAATTATAGGATGTAAATTTTTAGTTTATAGTTTGTAACTTATTTTTAAAATTGTCACTTCTTCATTCAAATAGGTAGGCAGGAAGGTAAAAGAAATAGGTGAGGTAGGTGATAGATTAGATAGATAAAAAGACTTAAAAATATCTTTAGAATTTCTGTAAGAAAGCTGTTTACATGCTGTTTGGTGATAATACATTTTTCTACATCTAAGTATTTAACAGAGGGTATATAATGACTAAAATGTAAATATTACCAAGGTTTAAAAATAAATGTAATTGTCTCTTTATTGCTACTCTTGTCTGACATCTCAAGACCATGATGGAGAGACAGAAAGAGAGAGAAAGGGAAAGAGTGTGTGTGTGTGTGTGTGTGTGTGTGTGTGTGTGTGTGTGTTTGTGTGTGTGTATTTAAGTTTCTTCTGTAATCTTCTAGAAAATACCCCAACCATAAGTGTTCTACCCTCTTTACTCCACATTTCTTGTAGCTTAGTATTTGAGACCACAAATTTTTCACATCCTCCAGGCAGATCTACCTGTCTTTTTCAATACCATTTTATTTATGAAACATACTCTATTCATTTCATTTCTTCTTAAAAATTACTTAGGCTGTTTGTCATTTTTAACATGCAAAAAATGCTGCAATAAATTTTTGCAGGTTTTTAGTATGCTTCCAATCAATATAAAGACTATATAAAGTTGTTCATAAAATAACAAAATAACAAAAATTTGTTATTTTTATTTTGGAAGTTATTAAGTTCATACCAAATAGATTACAACTACTTATTCATACACTGCTATCATATGTAAGGGTACATTTACACATGACATTGAATATTTTCAAATCTTGTTTATCACCTAACTCATATAAAAATAAACATTTTTTAAAATTTATTTTTATTGTAGTATTTTTATGTATGAGTAATGTTGAAGCAATCTTCATGTATTTAATCACCATATATGTGCCTTTTTATAGCTATTTGTTCATATACTATACACAGTATTTTTTGCACTATGATCCATTCGTTATTTTTCTATAGGCATATACTTTTTTGTTTTTATTTGGGTTTCCTTTATATTTATTAGAAATATATCTATTTTAATTTTGTTAAATATCCCACCTTAATGGTATTTGAATATTGTGCTATAATTAGAAATATTTGACCCACATCAAGAATATAAGTGAAATTATTTGTGCCTTTTTTTTTTGAGACAGAGACTTGCTCTGTCACCCAGGCTGGAGTGCATTGGGGCAATCAAATGCTTTTTAAAAAGTTTTAAGACTCTTGTTGGCATCTTAACCTAGATTCATCAGGATTTTATTCTGATATAAGTTGGAAAAAAGGTTCTAGGTTTTTATCTTTTCTTTTGCTCCCTAAAAGCCCAGCTATTTTCCTCAGGTGTATATTCTATCTTTATCTCAAACTGATTTGAAATGTCATATATATAATGTGGTAAAGCAATTATATCATCTTAATTTTTTTTTGAAAAACAATGTATTCCTTCATTGTTTAAGAATGCGTGATCAAAAAATGTATCTCTATACTTGATTTATTTATTAACAAGTATCTGTGGAATATTATACAAATTATTTAATCTCTCATTACCTCTTTTGTTATATGTCAATAATAAAATTACTTGACTCATAGAAAAATTGTGTAGAAATATTTGCATATGCAAAGCTTGACACATAGTGGACACTCAATGAACCAACTGTAATTTTAATAGTGACTAAGATATTTAATTTTTTTAGATATTATAAAAAACTGTCTGGCACATAACACCATTCTCAAAGCTTTCATATAATTAAATTTTTCAAGAGAGTTAATTGGCATTTGAATTTAATTCAAGTTCTTTAAGCAAAAACTCACAAGACCTCTTTCTTCTCTCCACACAATTATGATCTTTCCCTCATTACAGATCGCTATGAAGTAGTTTTTAAAATACGAATTTCTGCCTTTTCCTGCTGATCACTAGGTGATTAGTTGTAACTCCTTTCACATCAGGATTAAAGTTGTGACCGGCTTTGGACTCCCTAGGGTCTGCCATGACTTTCAGCTGCATTTGGGCTGCTTTGTTTGCGTTTTACGAAACTTGTGAAAACATGTCTGTATCCACAAAGAGAGTGGTCCTTATCGTTATATTTCTTGCCATCATACTCTTGCTTTTTTTTCTCCATAATTTTTATTTATATCCCTACATAGCCATTTGCCTTTTCATTTAAGGGGTCTCCTTCAATCATTTCTCAGAAAGGCATTGGTCTCTGGTTGGTTCCAATATAAATAACTGTGATAAATGCAAAACATGGGACAAATGTTAATACAGCCTATGTTAGACACAACATGTGTAAAGTACTAACACAACATGTTAGTACACAACATGTGTAAAGAGATGTCACCTTCCCTGTGTACCCATCAATTACATGAAAGTCAAGAATGTCCTCATATAATTTTTAGTCTTTTGTGTTTCTTAATTAGATATTCTGATCAAGCAGTTTATCCACTTTTTAAGTGGCAAATTAAATATAGTTTTTTTTTTTTTTTAATTTAGCACCATTTACTATCCAAAGGCAGTCAACTCTTGGTCTGACACATTTGTCCTGATATATTTACCCAATGGTCTTTTAATTTTATTATTTTCAGAGAAGATCATTGTTCAGTTTGTTTGTTTGTTTGTTTGTTTGTTTGTTTTGAGACGGAGTCTCACTCTGTTGCCCAGGCTAGAAAGCAGTGGTGCAGTCTTGGCTCACTGCAATCTCTGCCTCCCAGGTTCAAGCGATTCTCCTGCCTCAGCCTCCTGAGTAGCTGGGATTACAGGCACCCACCACTATGCCTGGCTAATTTTTGTATCTTTAGTAGAGATGAGGTTTCACCATGTTGGCCAGGCTGGTCTCAAACTCCTGACTTCAGGTGATCTGCCCGCCTCAGCCTTCCAAAGTGTTGGGATTACAGGCATGAGCCACCATGCCCGGCCATTGTTTAGCTTTTATGAAGTCAAATCTAGAGCTCCATGCCACTGTGATGGCTTTATCTATAATATGACTTTCTCTTCCTATCTCTTCCTGGTTATCAGTAAGATCAACATTTATTTTTTTCAAGATGTTTATGATTTTATATATTTTAACTTTATTAATCAAATTTATAGTTATAACTGTGAAATCCCCTCCTTCTATGTTCCCAAAGCAGCATCTTAGAAGCCCATGCAAGAATTACTAGAAGATTGAATTCTGACTTTAGGGGGAAGAGCTCCACTGACCCACTGCCAGTGATACTGGTAATCACTCCTAGTGATCCCAGGGATACTGACAAAAACAATAAACAAATAAACATGCAAACAAAAACACAGCCTTCTGAAAATTCTTGAAATAATAGTCCCAGGATTGAAAAGCAAGTAAAGAAATTTTTATTCAAGACGTATAAAAATTGGTTAACAACAACAAAAAAAATGCTGAGAGACTGTGAGGCTATTTGCTTGCCACACAAATCCTTTAATATAACACATAGGACTATTGCCTCAAGTTAATGCATCAGATGGCAGAGAGTTTTTATCAGGGACAGGTGTTGCATATTATTAAAAGTTTTCTCTCCTTTATTTTGTATCATGATTAAATGCATTTTTTTCAATGTTATATCAACCTTAAATTCATAAAATAATCCCACGGTTTCTTAAAATTTTACTTAGGATTCTTTGCATTTTTGCCCTAGGAAAAAGTCAGCCTGTCTAGTACTATCAAGATAGGTTTTGATATGAATATTATTGTGGTGTTATTAAAAGAGTTGAGAGTATCTATTTTCTATTTTTTGAAAGACATGCTTATAATATAGGAATTACATTTTCTTCAAGAGTTTGAAATAATATACCAGTGAAGCCCTCTGGGCCTTATTTTATCTGGTTGTGAGGTGTTGGATTATGCATTCAAATATTCTAATAGTATGTAAATATGTAGATTTTTCTATATTTTTCCTTTTTGCATATATGATAATATTTTTCTCCACAAAAAATATTTTAGGTTACATTTGCTTTTCTTTTTTGCCTTCTTGATTTAAAAACTAGGGTAATTGATTTGGCTTTCTTCTTTAAACTGTAAATTTTCTTTTTAAAAATGTGTTAACTGATTCCATGTTTTATATGTTGAATTATTATTAATCTTTAACTCACGATATTTTGTTACCCTATTGTGATGTTATTTTTGGCCAATGAGTTTTTAGCAATTCGTGTCTTAATTTTGAAACCTTTGGAGACTTTCTAATTTTATTTTTTTCATATAGTTCCAAAATAATTTTTCAGTGGCAAATATGAGTTGAGTCATTTCAAACTTGTTGAAACTTGTTTTATGGGCAAGAATATGCTAAATTTTTGTTACATATATGTCAGGTACATTTTAAAACATGGTGTATTCTGCAGTTAACTGATGGCAGTTGACAGCTTTTTAAAGACATTAGGTTTAAAACAATTTGAGATTTACATAAAAATTGAGGATATATTACAAAGTTTCCATATAATCTGCACCCAGTTGCCACTGTTACAAACACTTTACATTAAGATAGTACATTTGTGTGACAAACATTATCTGTAGTTCCTTTGTTATTTAATTTTACAAATCCCACTCATTTCCAAAGGAAATTAGGTCAACACATTTTCCTACCACCCTTTTCAGTAAGGTTTATTCCTATATTTGTAATAGAATTAGGTTCTCTAAGAACAGTCTGATATATATATATATATGTCATATACATATTTATCAGATATATATGTCATATATATTTATCAGATACATGTCATATATATATCATATATATATATGATTTAGTCCTATGTGGGTGTTTACAATTATATAATGTCACATACCAAAATTATAGCTAAATAATAGTAGACTGTAGTAGTCTTAATAATGTCCCCAAAGAGATAAAGTCTTAATAGGTAACTATTACCTATGTGGCAAAGACTGAGGATGTTTTTAAATTAAGGATTTTGAGATCAGGAGGTTACTCAGAGTTATCATGGTGGGGGTTAAATGCAATTACATGTATCCTTACAGGAGGCAGACAGAGTGCGATGTGATAACACACCAAAGAGGTGATATGAAAATGGAGGGTACAGAAATTTGAAGATGTTGACCTTGAACTGGAGTGATGTGGCCACAAACTAAGAAATGTGGACACCCTCAGTAGGAGGAAGAAAGGAATGAATTGTCCCTCTAGAGAAACTGGTGAGAGCACAGGACTACAGACATCTTGATTTTGGCTTGCAAAATTATAAGGATTTCTACATGTTCCTCACTGAACATCTCATTTCTGCTTTATCACTAAATAACACCAATTGTATAGATGTACTGCACTTTGCTTTTTTATTCACCGATTAGAGGACACTCCATTGCTTCAAATTTTAGGGGTTTAGGAATAAAGCTGATATAAATTATCAAGTGTAGGTTTTTCTGTGGATGTGTGTTTTCAAAGCAATTGTGTAAATACCTAGGAGCACAACTGCCAATAGTCATTTTTTGACTCAATTTCTTTATTAGGTATAGGCCTATTCAGGTTGTTTATTTCTTCTTGTGTGTGTTTTGGAATATTGTGTCTTTTAAGAAATGTGTCCATTTCATCCAAGTTAGGGACATAGAGTCGCTCATAATATTCCCTTACTATTCTTTTATTATCCTTTTGATATGTAGTGATATCCCCTCTTTTATATCTGATGTTAGTAACTTGTGTCTTTCTTTTTTCCTTAGTTAGCCTGGTTAGAGGCTTATCAATTTTGTTGATCTTTCAAAGAACCAACTTTAGTTTAATTGATTATCCCTGTTGATTTTATGTTTCCACTTAATATATTTCTGCTTTAATTTTCATTGCTATTATTCTGTCTTGAAGTGATATTTTTATCTTGAATATTTGATTTTTGTCAGTGTTTTTGTATCACTTGATATATTCTTCTGATTATTTTTCTATGTCCTATTGATATGATAGATTCGAACAATTGCTCTTCAAATGGTGAAGGAACCTTGAATATCTGAAAAAAAATCACAACTGAACATGACATATAATACTACTTTTTACATTATTGAATTCACATTTGTTATGAACTGATTATTCTGATCCCGAAAACTCATATGTTTAAGTGCTGACCCCCAATGTGTCTCTATTTAGAGATCACATCTGTGAGGAGGTGATAAAGGTTAAATGAAGTCATAAAGAAAGGGTCCTAATATGATAAAGCTGGTGATGTCCTTATAAGAAGAGGACATGAACATAACACCTTTCAAAAGAAGGCATACAGATGGCCAACAATCATATGGAAAAAAAACTCAACCTCACCTATCATTAGCGTAATGCAAATCAAAACCACAATGAGATACCATCTAACACCAAGTGGAATGACCCTATTAAAAAAATCAAACTCTGGCGAGGTTGTGGAGAAAAAGGAATGGTTATACACTGTTGGTGGGAGTGTAAATCAGTTCAGCCATTGTGGGAGACAGTGTAGGATGATTCCTCAAAAGACAGATATCATTCAACCCAACAACCTCATTACTGAGTATATACCCTTAGGAATATAAGTCATTCTATTATAAAGACAAATGCACAGGTATGTTCATTGCAGCATTATTTACAATAGCAAAGACATGGAATCAACCTTAATGTCCATCAATGATGGATAGAATAAAGATAATGTGGTACATAAATATATATCGAATACTATGTAGCTATGTAAAAACAAGATCATGTCTTTTGCAGGGACATGGATGAAGCTTGAGGCCATTATCCTTAGCAAACTAATACAGTAACAGAGAACCAAATACTGCATGTTCTCACTTATAAGTGGGAGCTAAATGATGAGAACACATAAACACATAGAGGGGAACAACATGCACTGGGGCCTTTTGGGAGGCAGAAGGTGGGAAGAGGGAGAGGATCAGGAAAAAATAATTAATCAGTACTAGGCTTAAAGCCTGGCTGATAAAATAATCTGTACAAACAACCCCCATGACACAAGTTTTATTTATGTAACAAACCTGCACTAATAGCTTTGAACTTAAAATAAAAGTTAATAGAAAAAAAAGAAAGAAAGAAAAGGAAGAGATCCAGAGCTCTCCCTCTGTCATGGCAGGACACAATAAAAATTCCTTTGGTTTTTGTTTGTCTGAGGAAGTTTTTATTTTTCCTTCACTATTGACGAATAATGTAATGAGATGTAGAATTTGATATTGGTGGGTTTTTTTTTTTGTTTCTTTAACACAATTATTTGACTCCACTTTCTTCTTGCTTACATGGTTTCTGATGAGAAGTCAGATGCAATGATCATTACTTTTCTTTTATACTTCTTTTTTCCTTTCTGGATTATTTTAGATGTTTTGGTACGTATCATGCTTGGTGTCCACTAAATTTCCTGGATCTATGGTTGTTGGTCTGTCATTAATAATGACAAATATTATGCCATATTTACAAAATACAAATATTTTCTCTGCCTCTAGTTCTCTCTCTCTCTCTCCTCCTTCTGGTATTCCAATTAATTGTGATTAATTGTGTGTTACATCTTTGGAAATTGACCCAAATTTCTTCAGGATTCTGTTGTGTGTTTTAAATTATTTTTTCTATTTTCGTTTTAGTATGAGAAGATTCTATTGGCAGATTTCAAATGTATTATACTTTCTTTGACCATATCTATCTTACTGAAGAGTTCATCAAAGACATTTTTTTATTTTTGTTGTAGTTTTTTTGAAAAATTTCTACCAATTTATTGTGCTTCTTCGAGTTTCAGTGTCTCTTTTTCATTAACCATCTGTTCTTATAATGTTGCCTACATTTTTTATTAAGGTCTTCCACTGATTCATTATATTACTTTAAATTCTTTGTCTAATAATTCCAAAATCTGTATCACATCTCAGTCTGTTTCTGATGTTTGTTTTGTATCTTTGAACTATGTTTTTCTTGCTTTTTTCATAACTTATAATTTTCTGTTGGTAACCACTGTTATGTAATAGAAACTGAAGAAATGCATTTTTAATGTCAGATATTATGTTAATCTGCTAGGAGTTAGGCTGTGTTTAATTTTTTTCTGTGGCTATAGGTACAGAGGTTTCAGCCCTGATATTCTTGTTTTTATTGACTTTTGTGTTTATAATTGTTTAGTAATACTTTCTTAATTACACATTGCACCTTGCAATACTTTCAACTGTAGTCCTCTGTTACAATACTAGAGCCCTATTGATAGGATAGGTGTGGGAGTGAGCAGCATTCTATTTTCTTATGATTAAATCTCAGACTTTTAGTGGTCTCACGTGCCTGGGTGTAACTTTCACAAGTGTTTCTTTGCCCGTCCTATAGCTGAGACAAGATAGCTATAAGGAGGCTAGAGTTGAGTCTATCCTACCTCTATGTTGTGTAAGATTTTGGTAAAATTAAAATTAAATATAGAATATTACATATATAAGAAAATAAACCTCCCATATTCTAAATATTAATTTTACTATTCTGACCCAAAATAAACCTTTAGCTTAAAAATTAGAAAGATAAGACTGAATAAACCCAAGGTATGTAATATAGGTGAGATCTTAAATCAGTGAGATGAAAAATGAAACTACAATAAATATAACATAAAGGCAAAAGTTAACTCAAAAGTTTCATAAGCCATCAAAATTCTTTAAACAGAAAAAAGAGTAAGACATCCAATCTATATTATAATTACAAAGAGTACATAAAGATATGCTCCCAACTTTTAAGAATAAAAAGAAGTATTTTTTAAATAATGCTGGTATATTTTTTAAAAATGTAAAACTAAAAACATACTGAAATTAGAGAAGAAAGTTTGGCTACAATCATTCCATGGTAGAAAGTACTTTTATTAACAGCAAACACCTAAATGCCTTCTAATTCTACAAACAAAACTTTGTATAACGATTCTTTTCCCTGAAGTTTGTCATGGAAAGGTTAAAGCTACTCTTCTTTTTTTTTTAATTATTATTGTTATACTTTAAGTTCTAGGGTACGTGTGCACAACGTGCAGTTTTGTTTCTTATGTATACATGTGCCATGTTGCTGTGCTGCACCCATTAACTCGTCATTTACGTTAGGCATATCTGCTAATTCTATCCCTCCCCACTCCCCTCACCCCATGACAGGCCCCAGTGTGTGATGTTCCCCTTCCTGTGTCCAAGTGTTCTCATTGTTCAATTCCCACCTATGAGTGAGAACATGCGGTGTTTGGTTTTTTGTCCTTGTGACAGTTTGCTGAGAATGATGGTTTCCAGCTTCATCCATGTCCCTACAAAGGACATGAACTCATTATTTTTTATGGCTGCATAGTATTCCATGGTGTATATGTGCCACATTTTCTTAATCCAGTCTATCATTGTTGGACATTTGGGTTGGTTCCAAGTCTTTGCTATTGTGAATAGTGCCACAATAAACATACGTGTGCATGTGTCTTTATAGCAGCATGATTTATAATCCTTTGGGTATATACTCAGTAATGGGATGGCTGGGTCAAATGGTATTTCCAGTTCTAGATCCTTGAGGAATCGCCACACTGTCTTCCACAATGGTTGAACTAGTTTACAGTCCCACCAACAGTGTAAAAGTGTTCCTATTTCTCCACATCCTCTCCAGCACCTGTTGTTTCCTGACTTTTTAATGATCGCCGTTCTAACTGGTGTGAGATGGTACCTCATTGTGGTTTTGATTTGCATTTCTCTGATGGCCAGTGATGACGAGCATTTATTCATGTGTCTGTTGGCTTCATAAATGTCTTCTTTTAAGAAGTGTCTGTTCATATCCTTCACCCACTATTTGATGGGGTTGTTAGTTTTTTTCTTGTAAATTTGTTTGAGTTCATTGTAGATTCTGGATATTAGCCCTTTGTCAGATGAGTAGATTGCAAAAATTTTCTCCCATTCTGTAGGTTGCCTGTTCACTCTGATGGTAGTTTCTTTTGCTGTGCAGAAGCTCTTTGAGCTAGATCATAAGTGGGCTTCCCCTAAAACCAAAGAAGAGAGGAACATTGTTAGAGGCCTTCACACTCTTTAAAACCCTCAGGACCTTCACACTACTGAATGAAAGTGAATGAGGAGGATAGATAATGTTTGAAAATTCATTTATCCAACAGTTTGGCCCAGTAAAAATTTGTGGTTATATATTGATTTTAAAGGAAATAATGTATATTATTTACATTATTATATAAATATATTATATGTATATATTATTATGTTATAATAATAGACATTATATTTTGATCGGTAACACAAGTTTTTGGTCTGCCATTTGTATCTTCCAGATTTTCACACTGTATTTCTTATAAATAAGACAATGAAGCCTAAATTGTTAGATTAATTGTTTAAGTCTTGAAGTTTATTTTGGGTGTCAGTGCACTTTTGTATGTGCTATTATTACATCCTTACAAAAGTTAAAATTTTTTTTCAAGAAATAAGTTACTTGAGAAAATGATATGTTAACAAGGTCATTGTAACCATAAACTGTGAAACCACAAATCAAAATAGCTTACTGATTATTGTAAAATATTTCTGAAAATTTTAACAATATTAAATCAACAATAACATAACAAGTTCTTTTTTATAAAAGGTTTACTCTTTTATACCAGGCCTTCTTTCATAATCAGCTTGTTTCATAGTTTACATTACCATGTTAAATGGAAAACTTATAGCCAAATTAATTTCCAAAGAGTTTAATTAAGTCAACAAGGATTCGTGAGTTTGGCAGCATCCTGAGCCAGCATAGGCTCAGAGACTCCAGCGCAGCTACGTGGTGGAAGAGGATTTGTTACAGAAAAAGGAAAGTGACACACAGAAAATGGAAACGAGTTACAGAAACAGCCAGATTGGTTACAGCTTGGCATTTGCCTTATTTGAGTGTGAAGAATTGGCCACCTTTGATTGGCCAAAACTTGGTGTTTGGCACAAGAGTGGGCTACAATCTGTGTACGATTCCATTTAGGTTATAGTTCACTATGTAAAGAGAAACCTTTAGACCGAACTTAAAACATGTAAGGAGGCAGCTTTAGGCTACACTTGATTTAACAATAATTTTTCCCTAAAACTATCAATGTTGATGTGCTCAAATATATCCTAGAAAATTATAAACAAAGCTAAAAACAAGAGGATATATAAAGTTATATAATAAAATGAAAATTAATAATGTCACATCTAGATTGGATTCATGAAGTAAACAATACAATTTAATAGAAGTCAAGGAACCATTATTAGATAAATGATAGTAATGTTTTAATTTTCAGTGAACACTGGGATTAATAAATGGAGAGATTCATATTTTCTGTAGAATGCTTTGTGAAAAGTTTCAATGTTATAAGCCAGAAAATAACTCAAATATTGACACAAGGGCTAAAATTCCTGCTTTGAGTCAGTCTTGAGGGTTTGCTGAAAAGCAGCAGAAATGGACACTGCTGCTTAGATGTGCTCCTGTCTTAAGCCCAGTCATTCACTGGCTGCATTTTTTTCTTTTTCTTTTTCTTTTTTTTTTTTAGTGATTTATTTTAGTTTCTTCTTTTCACTTTGTTAAGTGAAAGTTTGAAGAATTGTATTGGAAACTTTTTGGTAACTCTGAAACCTGAATGACTTTCAGAGCTTATTGCAACATGATTAGAAAAATCTACCACCTGGAAATTATCAAAATGCATAATGGCCAGGTGAGTAAGACATTCACGGAAGCTGGCGTGCCTGGTAGTAAAATAGAGAAATTTAATACAGAAAACTAGTGACAAAGTTGATGGGAAGCTAAAGGAAAATAGGATGGTGAGTTACCTCTGAGATCTGCGGTATCAAAAAGCCACTGGTACTCCTAGAACTAAAGGATCAGAAAAAGTTTTGTGATACGTTCAGAGCTAGAGAGCTAGGGTGTCCAGCTAAGGCTGGAATCATGGAGGAAATGTAGTAACTTATTAGAAATGCTACTCAAAATACGGAAGAGGAAGATAAATACTTTCTCTTCTCCTTTCTTCCTACTCTATACTGCTAGTCTCTACTACTATACAAACGCAAGAGGAAGCCTCTGGGAAAAGACATCTGGAAAATGTAGTTTGTAAGATGCAGCCTTCTGTATCAGAGAGGAGAGAATGAAAGGATGATGAATAAATCTTAAAGAAAAAAGAAAAATGTGCATCATTTTATTTCTGTTAGTGGCTAAATTATTCAGAAAAATTTGCCAAATAATTTTAAATGCTGTAAAATATTTTTAAAAATGTAAAGCACATCTATATAAGATTGAAGACACAAATCAGGGTACAATTAAAGATAAATAGAAACACAGAAATCAGTGATGCACAAGAACACTAAATCAGCTTTTTATGCAGCTATGAAATTTGTCAGTATCATAAACGTTGGGCTTTAGTTTTGTTGATCACCTGGGATGAGGAATATCAGTTATGTCACCATTGTGAATCTTTTATAGCATAAAAATCTAACAGGAAGACCCTCACAATGTTAGCTCAGGCTAAAACTGAACCTGAAAAAGTCCACCCCACACCCTTCCAAAGAGAAGAGCAGAGAAAGGTTAATTTTCACTAAGGGGAAACTGGAGATAAAAAAGAAATAGCTGCCTCTGAGATTAAGGCATTTATCTCACATGGATTTGGAGCGTGGATCCATACAATCTGTGTGATTGAGCTCATCCGGATTAGCAGTACTGCAGATTTCTGGCGAATTGAAACACAAATGCCCTCTAAGAAATATACCTTTGTCCCAAACCTAAAAACTTCCCAAATAATTTTTCAAAGACAATGATCCAACAGGGTAAAATCAAATCAAACATATGTTTCCAAATAACTTGTTATTATACTTCCAGAGAGTCTTGTTTATATGTGGCCTCTCAAATTGCCATTTAAAGTTTAGAATAAGCCTGTTAAGTTTCATCAATAAAAGATTCAAATGCAAGAAGTACATTTGTGAGTTGATCATGAGGAAAAGAGGCAAAGGAGCAAGCAAGGTGAGGCTGGGAATGAAAATAGGCCAGGCATGGTGGCTCACACCTGTAATCTTAGTGTGTTGGGAGGCTGAGGCAGGAGGAGCACTTGAGGCCAGGAGTTTTGGGGCCAGCCTGGGAAACATAGTGTGATTCCATCTCTGTAAAAAAGAAAAAAAAAATTAAACAGGCACAGTGGCATACCTCTAGTTATAGCTACTTGAGAGGCTGATGTGGGAGGATCACTTGAGCACAGGAATTCGAGGCTATAGTGAGATATGACTGTGCCACTGCATTAAAACAAAAAACAAAAACAAAGAAAAAACTAAAATCCAAACAATTTTGGTCCAAAGCATTTTGGATAAGATTAGTAAAATGTTTAACAAAAGGTTTTATTTTGGTCAAATTTATTATCTCGGAAAAAATTTTAACACTTCATTTTGTATCATGTGTGCTGGAGAATTCTTGTAGAGATTGTTTATAAGATTTGAGAAGCTATTTTCATTATGAATGGATTTTAAATTCTATAAACACTTTTAGTGCTAATATTAACACAATTTTATGAATATCTCCTCTTTTCTGTGAATAATATGAGTTGTGTGTGCAAGTTAAAAAATGGATAGTACTTTCAGTACAGTGACATTCAGGATGGACTTGAAGGACAGTGGAAAGGAAAAATTATTCCAGTAGACGATAAAACTTCAAGTGCTTCCCACTTTCATTGGTTTTTTTGTATGGAGGATCAAGCTGAGAATACATATTGACTCTCAGGAAGCGGCCAAAGAGCTGGTTGACTGTTAGGATCCTGTAAGGAAAAGAACTAGGCAGAAACAAATCCGTGCATCAAAATATGGGAGAGAATATATGATGTTAACATCCTTATATCACATTTTTTAATCCACCTGAAGACAACTGTAGTTGTAGAGGCACTGAATGACTGGCTGATTTTCAAATTTTTAGACCATCTTGATTCTCTCAAATAAACAAAATATAGTTTTGAATTTTTTCATCTTTAAGAAATGAGGATTAAAGCTGCATCTTAACATTGTTTTACATAGTACTAAATTAATTCAAAAGCAAAAATACTTTTAACATATTGCAGAATTTTATTTGCATATATTCCCATAACTGACAGAGGGCTTTCTCTACTGGATAGCAGTTACATTAATTAAGGCATTATATTATTGACCAGAAATGAAGAGATACACTATTGTGACAGAATAGTGAATAATGGACTTGTACATATGTTGCTTCTATATTTATAAAAATGGTGTAAACACTAAACTATGAGGAAAGTTTTGATTTTTTTTCAAAAAAATAATGCTTTCTTATTTGGAATAAAATGTGAAACATCCCATCTTACACAATATTAAATAAAAATATAAAAATACATAGATGATTATAGAGATTATCTGCATGATTGTAAAGTAGAAAAAGTTTTCATAAATAGGATGTCAAGTCACTAATACGAAGAAAAGATTGATAAGTTGGACCAGTTCAAATTAAGAATTTCTTCACCTTTAGGAAAATGAGAATGTAAGCTGAATTCACAGGGTACTAAATTAATTCAAGATTCCCCTGAAGAGGAAAGCAAGATAAAAAATACTCAGGGATTAACTAATACATCTGCTATGGCTCTTGACGTTGAAGAAAAAGGAAAGCTGATTTAAAAATAACTATAGCTTTTCTTTTTGTTTTTTCTTTTTTTAAAATAGTTGTCCAAAATGATTTTGACTTGATTTAGTTTGGGTAATCTTGATAATAATACCAGGTAGCTTTCAAATTTCTTGCCTGTAAAATTTATTTATATACACTAACCTACATTTCTAAATCTATGCCACTCTAAAGGAATTTTTATATAAACTATTCTAAATAAATAATCTTTATCCCAAACTACAAACCAAATCAAAATTTATGCTCAGATTTTGAGCTAAATTATAATCCCATTCACAAGGAAATGACCATCTCCACACCACTTCAGCCTTTCCTCTTAGACTGTCTCCAAAAGTGCCTTTTGTTTAAATGTTTAAAGAAAAATGTTTAAAGAAAAATATACTACAGTTTTTTTTAAATTTTTATTTTTTATAAAGACAAGATCTCACTATTTTGCTCAAGCTGATCACAAACTCCTGGCCTGGAGCAACCCTCTTCTTTCTACAGTACTTAGTTTCAAATTGTTTTCTTGCATTTTTTCCAAACGCCCTTTCCTTTTACTTTCTTATTGATCTGATCCTTCAGGCCTTGTTTATACTTTGAGCTGTTTCCACTGTGGCAGGAGTCTTATCTTTGTGAGAATGGACTCTAGGTGAAGTCTTACAGCTTCTTCTCAATGCTATGGAGGCTCTGCTTTCTCTGTTCATCCATCACCTTTTGCCAGGATGAAATAAATAATACATGGAATGAAATAAATTGTGACTTTTAGTTTTTTCTGACATCTATGTATGTTTTAATTTTTCTCTGTATCTCTCTGTATTCTTGTTAGAAAGAGTGTATAGGAGACTTGGATGCGAACTGCCATTATTGGGCTCACACCAAAGGACGACTGCGGGAGGCCAGTTATGGCACCCTAAAATATACATTTGAAGCTTATTTACAGCACATTATATTGAGAAACTACAGACACAGGAGTAGCTCTGAAAAGCTGTCCTTTCACAAAGAGAATGAACTTGTGTAAAGAAAATCTAGGTAAGTAACCGTATCTGTATCAGAAAGAAGTTTGCTCCAGACAACTTTTATTACCGGATAGACTTTTTATCTGTATAACAAGATTAACTTTATTCCCCATACATTTCCTCTCCTTCTTGACCCCATAACTTGTCTCCACTCTGACCCCTCAGAAGCCCAAATCCCCTTTTCCTTCCTGCAACTTAGGATACTACATAAGCTTCAATCATCTGGTTGTTCTTTGAGTCTCATATTCTGTGGGACTATCAGGGGTACTTAGGAAATTAATTGTGGGTTTTCTCCTGTTGATCTGTCTTATGTCAATTTAATTTGTAGATCAGCCAAAGAACCTAGGAGGTTGGAGGAAAGAAATTTTTCTCTTGCCTACACCATCATCCTCTAGAATTGATTCCACTCACGAAGACTGAAATGGATCCATGCTTGGAGAAATTAATTGTGTGAGAGAAGTTGTAACGAGCAGAGTTTGCCAGCTGACCATAACAATAGAATAGAATCTGCTCTGAAAATAAATGTTGCTATCACCCACTGCTCATCACTGTGAGTAAAAAGGATATCAAGTAGTTGAATATAATGACCTATTATTGAGAAAATTGTTGTTTTTCAGATATCTACATGGGCCACACATCGTTCAGGCCTATGAAAGTGGAGCCCTCTAGCTAACTCTAGCCACAAGTGACAAGAAGTGGACATACATGAACATTTAAGAAGACAATGAGAAGTAAAAGTAAATATTTCAGGAAAAATAATTTTAAAATTCAAAATCAAATCAATAAGAAAAAAATTATAATAAATACTTGGCTCACATATGTATAGTTCAATTCTTAACTATGTTAGCTAAAATATATATCTTCATAACTGGTAGACTATATCCACTGCACAAGTGAGACTAATTCCAATAATGTAAGCAAGTTTCAGTATTGGAAATCATATTTACTATATTAATAGAGCCGAGGAGGAATAGCATATACCTATTAACAAACTCTGAAAAAAAAATTTTATAAGATTCCAATCCTTTTCTAAGTAAATGTCTCAGTTAATCAGAATTAAATTATTATTTTTCTAACATTCCACAGAACAAAATCTCAACAATGGAGTCATATATTTTTCTCTGCTGTGTTTAAGAAAAGAAAGCATATAAATTGTGATTCTTAATATTAAGTACTATATTGAAGCAGTAGTCAATGCATTTAGTTAAGACCAGCTATTGGAGTAATAAGGCTTAGAAAAGGAGGCAGAACTATCTCTGTTCACTTATGACAAAACAGAATGTTCAGGAAAAAAAAGACAAAATCAATAAGTAAAATATTAAATACCATAAGAACATTCATTAAGGTAATAGGATGTAAAATCTACATACAGAAATGAATCATATGTATGTATACAAATGATGTGGTAAGACATAAAATAAGGCACATAACAAAATGTGAAAGTCTTAGCAATAAAATGAAGTAGAAAGTGCAAAGTCTACACACCTAAAACTTTAAAGTACTTATGAGACACACCAAAGTACATTTGAATGATGGGAAATTCATACCAGGTGCAACAACATAGAGATGTCTCTTTTTCCAAGATTAATTTATACATTAAATTAAATCTGAACAAAATCTCAAATTATTTCTTTCTAAAGCTATCCAAGTTAGCTAAAGAATTTATATACAAGTGATAGCTATGAGTAGCCAAAAAAAAAAAACTGAAAAATAACAATAGAGTGGGGGTCAGCCTCTTGAGATACTAAAGCATACTAGAAAGTATTTGGATTACATGATATTACAATACACCACATGTACAATAGAAATAAAGGTGTCTAATGCATAAAGTAAAACTGACTGAAATGTCAGCGTAACCGAATAAATGAATATGGAGAAAAGAAGACCTGATAAATTCAGCTTGCATCACTGGAGTCGATAGAGAAGCCAGAGGTCAAAGGGTGAGTACTAGAATCCACATGTGGCAACTGTCACCACACAGAGAAAGTCAAAGACACTCTGGAAACTGCCATATCTTATTGTCACCAACACGGAGAGGTCTGTGAAGCTGCTATATCTGGCCACCACATCAGTTCAAGAATAAACACGTTTAACTTTGGCCTTCCAAAGTTCATTCAGAGTTCCTCTCATTTAACAACTCTAAACCAAAAAGAGGAACATCAAAAAGATTCTAATAAACATGTTAGCAAAATTATAAGGGATTGTTTCTAGTGTAAAGTTGACAGCAGAAAATCCACCAAAGTAGATAGTTATGTGAAAGAGTGAGGCATTAGCTTATGAATATGTATGTGTGTGCCTACATGGACATACATATGTGTGCACACTGTGTACGTTTGTGCGCATACACACTAATGGATCAGAAAATAGTCCAGTATATAGAGAAACTTTCTATATATTAATGAAAAGCATCTAAAAGTATCAGGTAACAAAGTGGAATTTAAAAATAATGTTGAAAAAAGGATACTGGCTTTAAAAAATTCCATCAAGTAATCTTCAATTGAATATTAGTTAAAAATTTTAAAAGAAATTGCAAAGGAAAAAAATTACAAAGTAAAGAAAGAGATTTTGTTTAAATGAAATTCAATGTCAATAAAGTATTTATAACTTTTCCATATAAAGGCTAAAAGTACTGATATGGCAACAACACTCCAATCAGACTCAAAATGCAAAGGAAAAATTAGTAAATGTTTTTCACTAATATCACTAAAAATAATACCTGTAGGGATCAAAACATAAAAGACCAATAACTCAATAAAAATTGACCAAAATTTATGAACAGATTAGTTCAGAGATAAATGAAAGCAGCTATTAGCATATTTAATCTCACGCATAATTATATAAATCCAAATTATTATTACCTTTAGGTAATATTTCATTTATAATATCTACAAATTTCTATATGTTTGACAATGTGCCATTGTTATCAGCCTACAGAAAAACAAAACACTGATACTAAAACATGCCATATCATCAAAGTGCATTGCTCTGCAGCTATTTAAAAGATACAGAATTAAAGATAACTCTATATTTTGAAAATAAAATGAAATCAATAATTTATTGTTAGTAAGCACAACAAAATAGAAAATATTTTCTATAGCTTTGCTTTAAGAAAGTCTGTGTGTGTGTGTGTGTGTGTGTGTGTATAATTAGTTTCTTCGGGGTGCTGTAACCTGTCTGTAAAAACGTGGCTTAAAACAGAATTTTTTTTTCATATTCTGGAGGCCAGAAGTTTAAAATTCAATTGTTGGCAGGGCTAGTCTCCCTTCAAAAGCCGTAAGTATTAATCATTTCTTGTTTCTTTCACCTTCTGGAAGCCCGTGGCATTTCTTGGCTTGTGGCAGTATGTCTCCAGTCTCTGTCTCTCTCTTCACGTGTGTCTTCAGATAGGCTTCTTCTCTGTGCTCCTGTGTCTCAAATCTCCCTCTCCTGTCTCATAAAAGGACAACAGTCATAGGAATCAAGGCCTATCCAAAATGCACTATGCTCTTATCTTGAGATCTTTTTTTTTTTTTTTTTTTTGAGACGGAGTCTCGCTCTGTCGCCCAGGCTGGAGTGCAGTGGCACGATCTCGGCTCACTGCAAGCTCTGCCTCCTGGGTTCACGACATTCTCCTGCCTCAGCCTCCCGAGAAGCTGGGACTACAGGCACCCGCCACCACGCCCAGCTAATTTTTTGTATTTTTAGTAGAGACAGGGTTTCACCGCGTTAGCCAGGATGGTCTCGATTTCCCGACCTCGTGATCCACCTGCCTCGGCCTCCCAAAGTGCTGGGATTACAGGCGTGAGCCACCGCGCCCAGCTGGAAATCTTTAAATTAAAGATCTTATGTCTACATAAGGTCACATTCACAGACACCAGATGTTAGGACTTGGACATACATTTTTGGTGAATACAATTCAACTATGTATATGCATACGCCAAGTTAAAATAATGTCAGTTTCTATCTATCCATCTATCTGTCTATCTCTCTATATCTTTATCTATCTATCATTTATCTATCCAACCATTCATCTAAAAAAATCACTTGAAGAGTAAAGGAGAAGCCATTAAAATCAGATATTTTGGGGAGTAGGTTTTAGAAATGAAGTAGGAGACAAGACTTGCAAAAAAATCTACTTGTAGTATAACCACTTACATGAATTTTCATCTAAACCTTGTAAGTTGTTTTTATATTCAAATATAAAATTCACTATACAACAAGTGATAATTAAAATTTAAAGTAAACTAAAACAAATGACACTAACTACATTAAATTGGCTTTATAACTGTAATGAAAAAAGAATAATTTTAAGTAGTTTTATAATACAGTATTTTGACTACATGCCCAATGTGACATAAATTTAATGTGTTCCAAGCTCCTTGCAGAGATTACTGAATCTATATTTGAGTCAGAAAATATGCAGATGGATACATATATATCTTGTGCCAGTAAGGAAAACTAATGTGCACTTTTCAACATAGTAAAAGAAGAAGCTTAAATGTCTCTCAAAGGTCAAATTAGGGGAAATTTTATATTGAAAAAAGTAAGCATTTGAAATACATCAAATGTACAAAAATCCATGAATCTACAATGATACTACAAAAGGAGAAAGAAAAATTGAAAAATCTCACCTTCCAATATTGGAAGTAGATTTTATACCAACTCCTTAATACTGGGAAGTGGTGGGGAGGTATTTCGTCTTTATCTTGTGTTTCTAAGAATTCTACAAGATGATGACAAAATAGTCCCAGATAATGAACAAAAGGTATTCTTTACCAGAAGAATTACAGATAATACATGTGGAAAGATAATGTTTCAATTATAATTTTACTCATAACTTTTGTGAAGGTAAAGCAGAGTTTAAAACAAACAAAAGTTATGTTGTTACATCATTTACAACAACTCTAATTACACTTTCAAATTTCTTTTTCACCTATCTAAAATTTTTAATACTGAAATAAGTTGCAAAATATGTTCAGTGTTTATTTTTTAATCATTCATACGTGGCCCTCAAATGAATTTAATCTGGGATAAGGATGTAAGCCAAAAAACAAACAAAACACCGCTTGACTCACAGAGATAAACCAATGAATCTGAGGTTATCAGAATATGCATGTGGTTTAATGAACTCAAAGAGAATGAAAGTTTAAAATTTAATGGGGTTCTGTGTATCATAATAATAAAGCTGAACATGAGAGCAATATCTTCCAAATTGCTACATCAAAATGGAATATATATATATGAATAGTACTCATTTTTACTTAACAAGAATTATGCTGGCTAGAAAGCATACCCCATGTCATTTATTTTAACATAGTTCAGGTAGTCTTAAAACTTATAAAAGTCAAACAAAGCAAAAAACACTTTTTGTGATATTTAGGAAAATCTTCTTGAAACCTTAGAATCCCATAAACATAAAAGTTTAAATTTTTATAGAAGTGCTCAGAGTAGAATGAATGTCATAAAAGATTAATGAGTTTTTATGCCTTTTCCCAGATGAGCAACTATGGCTAGAAAGAGTGAAAATTATTTTATTTTAAGAGGATATTGGTTTAAATCTTAAGTATGTTTTGGGATGTTTTCTTTGTTAGAATATATAATCAAAATGATCACAGAGTAAATCTCTTAATATATTTAATAGGCCATATGTTAACTTTTACATTTCTATTACCTAATTATGTTTGCAATTCATGATAAAATATATTTTCCTTTAAATTCAATCTTTATGCAACCAATTCTATTTTTTCAGAAATCACTTATATTTGACTATCTTATTAAACATGCAAAGAACAAAAATTGATAAAATTTCTTATGAATTTTTATGAAGGGTTCTGTGTCAATAATTAAGCAATGCCTGAAAGCTTCCGTACTGCCAAAAATTATGGCAATAGAATCCAAGTAAAAAATATGGTGAATAAAATACTGTCATAATTAATGTTTGAATTTTTAAATGAAAATGTCATTGAAAAATATTTAATTTTAAACAGTTTTGTCTTGTTAAGATAGTAAGTCACTGATACAAAATTAACATAGGGAATAGTTTTTTTCTTAAATAATTATTAAAAAAGAAAATATCAGCTTTATTTACCAGTCTGGTATACAAAAAAATGACAATGTTACACATGAAATTTCAAATAAAACTAAGTGGCCAAAAGAATCTGTTGCAAAATTTCTCTCCCAACTCCACTAGGTGCTAACAGATGATATATAATTATTTCAAGATATTTAATACATCTGCCATTTCATGTTAGTGCAATTAAAGGTAACAATACTATAGCCCAAGCAGATGCCTTTCATAGAATTTGATTAATGGCACAAGAAAGAAACTTTGGATGCAAAGTATGCCAAATATGTTTTTATTAAGTAAAAAACAGTGATTCTGTCCTGAGCTAAAAGAACTACTTGATTCAGAAAGAAAAAGGGGAAAAATGAAGTATAACATTTGAATGGATATGAAAACATGTAGAAGGTTCATGGAATTTTATTTATTGTGGTTAAGACAGGTGAGTTGGGGGTACAATTCGGACTTTATAAGATTTTAAAAGGTTTTTTTTAAAGCCTTAGTATTTATAGCATGTTGATAAAAAATAGAATTTGGTTTTTCTCTGTTAAAATGATAACATTTTCTTGGATTATTGGTCTGCTTTTGATAAGAGGTTATGAATGATTTTCCTTTACCTTCTGAGTGATCTGTTTCTAAGTAGAAGTTTCTATGTCATTAGAATAATTTTGTGTACTTTATATTAACTTTATCATATCTTTGGTTATTTAAGAGAACCAAGTCTTCTCATTTTTAAAAGCACTAAAGGATTTTTACAATCATATACGTCTTATATTTACTTTAATTTTTTTGTCACTTTGATTAAATAAAAAACAAAGTATTGTTTTACAACAATACATAATCCTCTATAGCCAAGTGTTCAAACCTGGCAACTTGGAAATTTTGTCTTCCAAAAATGCTAATTGGCCTTATCCAGAGGAAAAGTAAACTTCCTTGTATCTACGTGTCATTCCATGTATATACCATGGAATACTACACGGCCATAAAAAGAGCAAAATCCTGTCTTTTGAAGCAACATGGGTGCAGCTGGAAGCCTTTATCCTAAGCAAGTTAATGTTGGAACAAAAAAACAAATATTGCATATTCTCACTTCTAAGTGTGAGCTAAACGTTGAGTACACGTGGACATAAAGATGGGGACAACAGAGGACTACTAGAAGGGGAAAGAGAGGAAGGAGGTGGTGGTAGTGTTTGAAGCTAGGAATCTATTAAGTCAGACTTCTACTACAGAGCCCTGGCGATAGAGGCTCTATCTTTCTCGACTATTACATTTCAAAAGGATAGCTCCCAAGTATTTGAGATAGGCATTCCTGGGATGTGAGCTGGAAAATGCCTTTATATCTCACAGGAGCAGCAGGAGGAAAGATCATTGCGGTTAGGCTGTCTTAATTCAGTAACAGAAGGAGGTCCGAGACCTAGAGGCAGAGAGAAGCCTCTCCAATATTGAACCAAGCTTTGGGAAGCATTAAGGTCCTCTTGATCTTGATAAACCCTCAGCCCTGTTTGCCCTCCAGTCCTGTGCTGAGTAACACCAACTGTTCCCATATAAAAAGATAACTGGCCAACCCAGAAAAATTCCCTATTTTGCTTGGGCTCTCATAGATTCTAACCTAACCATTCAGACATCTTAAAATATTGCAAGAGACTTATTAATTATACCCGCACTTATCATCAACAGATCAAGGCTGTTTAATCAACCAGTGTTAGAGACTTAGGTTATCTGGAAGTGACATCACTGGGAAACTAATCTTAAAACTCTCTAAAAAGGCCCTTACCTCATCTGCCTTACCACTATTACTGCTGCCAGACTCTAAGAACCAAACCCTGAATTAAATGGAAAAGGCACAAAAGCTACTCTAAATAAATGGCTACCCCAATTAGACACCTTCAACTGAAGCTCTGTCAAGAGTTCCCAGAAGCAGATTGTACTATCAGTAAATAGGTTTACCAAGAAATTTAGTCTTAGTAATTGACATGAAGCAGTCAGCTTCTACCCAAAATGTTGAAACAAAGCTCTCCAGGATTCCCCAACCTAGTTCCTATCCTAACCATATTTATTATTCTGCTTTGCTGCATTCTTTTTCTCTATTTCCTCCTACGTAATTTTTGCTACTCATATAACTTCCCTCGTTGCAGCTTCTCGTTTTTTCATTTCTTTTTTATTTGCATTTCCATTTTTAAAGTTTTTATTGACATTTAGTCAAGCTCACTGATTCTTTCCTAAGCAGCTGTATTCAGTCAGTTGATGAGACCATTAAGTAAATCCTTCACTTTTTGTTACAGGATTTTACATTTCGAACATTTTTTTGTTTCTTTCTTGGATTTTCTGTTTTCTTGCTACCATTGCCCATTTATTCTTACATGTTGACCGCTTTTTTCATTAGAGCTTTTAGCCTATAGTTGTTTAAAGTTCTAGGCTGACAATTCCAAAATCTCTGCCACATCTGAGTCTTGTTCTGATGTTTGCTCAGTAGGTGTTCAAATTTTGTTTTTTGCCTTTTAGTGTGACTTGTAATTTTTGGTTGAAAGCTGGACATGTTTTATTGGGTACAAGGAGCTGAGGTAAAGTGAAGGTTTGTGTTTATCTGGGTAGAGATTAGGCTGTGCTTACCATTTTCTGTAGCTATAAGTTTCAGAGGCTAACATCTTCTCTGGTGACCTTGGTTTTGTTTCCCTTGTTGTCTTTGATGTTCTGTAAACTTATTAAGTAAAGTCTGAGATTTGCAGGTTTTTCTGTCATATTTCCCTGTTATTATTTATACAACAGGTGAACTATTATGGTAGTAAGTTGAGGAGAAAGCAAGGTGTTCTATAATCTTATGATTAGGTCTTAGGGAGCTACTGCCCCTGGACTGTGAACATCATAAGTACTTTTTAAGTCCTTCCACACCCTTAGTTGAGGCAGGAAGGCTAGAGTAGGCTCAAGTTGGGTATTCCCCTTCCCCTATATAAAAGGCTAGTGGGGAATGTGTTGGAGAGCCCAGGATAGGTTGGACTCTGGTAAAATTCTAGTAGGTTAGGATCTGGTGAAATAGGTTTTCTTGAGGGATACAAGTAGAACAGAATGTTCTAGGCATACACTTTAAAATGGCTGTTTTACCCTCTTCCTACTATAAGCACAAGGGGATTTTTCTCCAATATTCATTGTGAGAACCTGATAAAGTTCTTACAGGTAAAACCTACCATAATTTGAATGTTCCTTAAGTCTGTAATCCCAGGAGATTTCCTTTTATATTTCATTTTATTTCTTTTATTTCCTTTTTTATTTTAGGTCAGAGGGTATCTATGCAAGTTTGTCACATGGGCATATTGCATGAAACTGAGGTTTGGGGTATGAATGATCCTGTAACCCAGGTAGTGAACATCGTACTCAACAGGTAGTTTTCATTATTTATTTATTTATTTATTTATTTATTTATTTATTTATTTACTTACTTACTTATTTTTACTTAAATTTACTTTAAGTTCTGTGATACATGAGCAGAATGTGCAGCTACATAGGTATACATGTGCCATGGTCGTTTGCTGCACCTATCAACCCATCATCTAGGTTTTAAACCCCACATGCATTAGGTATTTCTCTTAATGCTATCCCTCCCCTAGCCCCCCACCTCCCAACAGGCTCAGGTGTGTGATGTTCCCCTCCCTGTGTCCACGTGTTCTCATCGTTCAGCTCCCACTTATGAGTGAGAACATGCAGTGTTTGGTTTTCTGTTCCCGTATTAGTTTGCTGAGAATAATGGTTTCCAACTTCATCAATGTCCCAGCAAAGGACATGAACTCATTCTTTTTTATGGCTGCATAGTATTCCATGGTGTATATGTGCCATATTTTCTTTATCTGGTCTATCATTGATGGGCATTTGAGTTGGTTCCAAGTCTTTGCTATTGTAAATAGTGCTGCATTAAACATATGTGTGCATATGTCTCTATTGTAGAATGATTTATAATCCTTTGGATATATACCTAGTAATAGGATTGCTGGGTCGAATAGTATTTATGGTTCTAAATCCTTGAGGCATTTCCACACTGTCTTCCACAATGGTTGAACTAATTTATATTCCCACCAACAGTGTAAAAGCATTCCTTCTTCTCCGCATCCTCTCCAGCATCTGTTGTTTCCTAACTTTTTAATAACTGCCATTCCAACTGGTGTGAGATGGTATCTCATTGTGGTTTTAATTTGCATTTCTCTAATGACCAGTGATGATGAGCCTTTTTTCATATGATTGTTGGCCGCATAAATGTCTTTGAGAAATGTCTGTTCATATCCTTTGCCCACTTTTTGATGCAGTTGTTTGTTTTTTTCTTGTAAATTTGTTTAAGTTCCTTGTAGATTCTGGATATTAGCCCTTTGTCAGGTGGATAGATTGCAAAAATTTTCTCCCATTCTGTAGGTTGCCTGTTCACTCTGATGACACTTTATATTGCTGAGCAGAAGGTCTTTAGTTTAATTAGATCCCATTTGTCAATTTTGGCTTTTGTTGCCATTGATTTTGGTGTCTTAATCATGAAGTCTTTGCCCATGCCTGTGTCTTGAATGGTATTGCCTAGGTTTTCTTCTAGTGTTTTTTATAATTTCAGATTTTATGTTTAAATCTTTAATCCATCTTGAGTATTAATTCCTGTATAAGGTGTAAGGAAGGGGTCCAGTTTCTGTTTTCTGCATATGGCTAGCCAGTTTTCCCAGAACCATTTATTAGATAGGGAATCCTTTCCCCATTACTTGTTTTTGTCAGTTTTGTCAAAGATTAGATGGTTGTAGATGTATAGTGTTATTTCTGAGCCCTCTGTTCTGTTCCATTGGTCTATATATCTGTTTTGGTACCAGTACTATGCTGTTTTGGTTACTGTAGCTTTGTAATATAGGCTGAAGTCAGGTAGTGTGATGCCTCCAGCTTTGTTCTTTTTGCTTAGGATTGTCTTGGCTATATGGGCTCTTTTTTTGTTACATATGAAATTTAAAGTAGTTAAATTTGACTTTCTAGTTCTGTGAAGAAAGTCAGTGGTAGCGTGGTGGGAATAGCATTGAATCTACACATTCCTTTGGGCAGTATGGCCATTTTCATGATATTAATTCTTCCTATCATGAGCATGGAATTTTTTTTTCACTTGTTTGTGTCTCTCTTATTTCCTTGAGCAGTGGTTTGTAGTTCTCCTTGAAGAGGTCCTTCACATCCCTTGTAAGTTGTATTCCTAGGTATTTTTTTCTCTTTGTAGCATTTGTGAATGTGAGTTCACTCATGGTTTGGCTCTCTGCTTCTCTGTTTTTGGTGTATATGAATGCTTGTCATTTTTGCACATTGATTTTGTATCCTGAGACTGCTGAAGTTGCTTATCAGCTTAAGGAGATTTTGGGCTGAGACGATGGGGTTTTCTAAATATACAATAAGGTCATCTGCAAACAGGGACAATTTGACTTCCTTTCATTCTATTTGAATACACTTTATTTGTTTCTCTTGCCTGATTGCCCTGGCTAGAAATTCCAATACTATGTTGAATAAGAGTGGTGAGAGAAGGCATCCTTGTCTTGTCTTGGTTTTCAAAGGGAATGCTTCTAGCTTTTGCCCATTCAGTATGATATTGGCTATGGGTTTGTTATAAATAGCTCTTATTATTTTGAGATATGTTCCATGAATACCTAGTTTATTGAGAGATGTTAGCATGAAGGGGTATTGAATTTTATCAAAGGCCTTTTCTGCATCTATGGAGATAATCATGTGGTTTTTGTCATTGGTTCTGTTTATATGATGGATTACATTTATTGATTTGCCTATGTTGAACCAGCCTTGCATCCTAGGGATAAAGCTGACTTGATTGTGGTGGATACTCTTTTGATGTGCTGCTAGATTCGGTTGGCAGTCTATCCCTTGATAGAGCTTGAGTGCTGTGCTGGGAGAATCTTTTTTGTCAGGATCTGCTGCTTTCTTCAGAGCCAGCAGACAGGAACATTTAAGTCCACTGAACTGCGTCCACAGCCACCCTTTCCCCCAGGTGCCCTGACCTAGGGTGATGGGAGTTTTATCTATAAACACCTGACTGGGGCTGCTGGATTTCTTTCAGAGATGCTCTTCACAGTGAGGAGGAATTTAGGGAGGCAGTCTGGCCACAGCCACTTTGCCGCACTGTGGTGAGTTCTACCCAGTCGAAGCTTCCTGGCCTCCTTCGTACTGTCAGGGAAAAACCTCCTATTCAAGCCTCAGTAATGGCAGATGGCCCTCCCCAAACCAAGCTCAATCGTCCCAGGTTGACTTCAGACTGCTTTGCTGGCAGCGAGAATTTCAAGCCAGTGATTCTTAGCTTGCTGGGCTCCACGGTAGTGGGACCTGCTGAGTGACACCACTTAGCTCCTTAGCTTCAGCCCCCTTTCCAGGGGAATGAACGGTTCTGTCTCACTGGGGTTCCAGGTGCCACTGGAGTATGAAAACAAAAACAAAAACAAACAAACAAGCAAGCAAAAAACTCCTGCCACTAGTTTAGTGTCTGCCCAAACAGCTGCTCAGTTTTGTGCTTGATACCCAGGGCCCTGGCGGTATCAGCACACGACGGAATCTCCTGGTCTGTGGATTGCAAAAACCTCGGGAAAAGCATAATATCTGGGCCGGATAGCACAGTCCCTCATGGCTTCCCTTCTCAATAGATAGTTTTTCAACCTTCACCTCCTCTCTCTTGCCCTCTAGTAGTCCCCAGTATTTTTTCCATTTTTAGTGTTCTCAAAGTTTAGCTCACAGTTAGAAGTGACAATATGCAATATTTGGTTTTCTGTTTCCGTGGTGGCTTGCTTAGGATAAAGGCCTCCAGCTGCATTCATGTTGCTTCAAAGGAGAGGATTTTATTCTTTTATGGCTATGTAGTGTCTCCTGGTGTATAAGAACCACATTTTCTCTATACAACTCACCATTGGTGAGCATCTAGGTTGATTCCTTGCTTTTGCTATTGTGAATAGTGCTGCAATGAACATATAAGTGCATGTCTCTTTTTGTTAGAACAAATTATATTCCTTTAGGTCTATATTCTGTAATTGATTTAATGGATTAAATGGTAGTTCTATTTTAAGTTCTTTGAGATTCTCCAACTGCTTGAAAGAGTGGTTTAAGTGATTTATATTCTCACAAACAGTGTGTAAGCACTCACTTCTCTCTACAGTCTTGCCAACATACTATATTTTTCTATTTTTTAGTAATACCCATTCTGACTGGTGTGAGATGATATCTCATTGTAGTTTTGATTCACATTTCTCTAATGTTCAGTGATGTTGAACATTTTTTAATACATTTGTTGGCCATGTGTATGTTTTCTTTTGAGAAGTATCTGTTCGTGTCCTTTGCTCACACTTTTTAATGGGGCTATTTGTTTCTTGCTTGTTAAACTCCTTGTAGACTCTGGATATTAGGCCTTTGTTGGATTCATAGTTTGTGAATAATTTATTCCATTCTGTATGTTGTCTGTTTGTTCATACTTTCTTTTGCTGTGCAGATGCTCTTTAATTTAATTAGATCCCACTTGTCAATTTTTGTTTTTGTTGCAATTGCCTTTGAGAACTTAGCCAGAACGGTGTTTCCTAGGTTTTCTTCTTGGATTTTTATAGTTTTAGATCTTACATTTAAGTCTTTAAACTATCTTGGTTAATTTTTGAGTATGGTGAAAAGTAGGAGTCTAGTTTCCTTCTTCTGCAGGTGGCTAGCCAGTTATCTCACAACCACTTACTGAATAGGGGGTCATTTTCCCCCTTGCTTATTTTTGTTGACTTTGTCAAAGACTAGATGGTGGCGGGCGTGTGGCTTTATTTCTGGGTTCTCTATTCTATTCAGTTTGTCTATGTGTCTGTTTTTTGTACAAGTACCATGCTGTTTTGATTACTTTAACCTTGTAGTATAGCTTGGTATCGGGTAATGTGATGACTCCAGCTTTGTTCATTAGAATGCCCACTCTCACCACTCCTATTCAACATAGTACTGGAAGTCCTAGCTGGAGCAATTAGGCAAGAGAAAGTAATAAAAGGCATCCAAATTGGAAAAGAAATAGTCTCTTCACTGATTTCATTCCTGAGATACCCTAAAGACTCTGCCAAAAGGTTCCTAGCACTGACAAATGACTTCAATAATGTTTCAGGATACAAAATCAGTGTGCAAAAATCAGAAGCATTTCTATATACAAATAACGTTTAAGCTGAGATCAAAATCAAGAACATAATCCCATTTACCATAGGTACACACACACACATGCAAAAAATCTAGGAATACATTTAACCAAGAAGGTAAAAAATCTCTATAAGGAAAAGTAAAAAACACTGCGGAAAGACATCATGGATGACAAAATCAAATGGAAAAATCATTCCATGCTTGTGGATAGAAAGAATCAATGTCATTTAAATGGGCATACTGCCCAAAGCAATATACAGCTTCAATGCTGTTCCTATCAAACTACCAATGTCATTTTTCACAGAAATAGAAAATTTAAAATTCATATGGAACCAAAAAAAGTGCCTGAATATCCAAAGCAATGTTAATCAAAAAGGAAAAATCCATTAGTTTTTAATTCTCAAATTGCCAAAACTCAGCCTCCTGAAATTAGCTAATTACAGTTTAGGTTGGTATCCATTATCAGTAAGGTTTCTGTTTATGGATTTTGCTCTAGTAAGTTGTGATTCTCTGTATCTGTCTGTTTTTCCAACTTGTGGCAGGCAGCAGTTTGGTCTGTGACCTCAATTTTCTGATGGATCAGAAAGCATTGTTCATTTTAAGTGTGTTGAGCTTTTTCATGTTGTGTTGACAGAATAACTTCCAATCTCCTTACATGCCAGACCAAAAACTGAAAGATGAACTGGGCTTTTTATTACATTTCTTCCTAATCCAAGTTGTTTCCCCTTAACTAATTACTTCATACTTAGGAGAAATCCAGATTCTATGTAGTTCCTTCACCCAACACATAGCACAATCTCATGACACATCTTTTCACTGGTTCTGTTTTCTCTTTCTTTTGGAAGCCTCTAGGTTCCCCCCAAATTTCTATATAACTGTGTCAGAGATAAGAATTTCCTTTTAGGGACTTTTTGGCTTTTCCTCATAAACTTTAAAAGAATCCTCCTCAAGCTCTATACTTTTCAAAAAGGGCTTATATACACTCAAACACAAAAAATCTGTGGGATGATCATTTCCATGAAGCCCAAATAGCTTCCAATAAAACATATTCAACTTGTGGCAGCTCTCCCTGCTATGGGGTGGGTTCTATTGCCTCGCTACTCTTATTACGTCTTAACAAGTGTTTAACCAGACTTCCTTTTTTTTTTTTAACTACTCATTTATCTCTGATTTAAATTTTTCTGGGTGTAGACTACTGAACATGTCTATAGAAACATGTAATAGTTAAAAGCTTAGTCACATAATCTTGGCCCCAGCAGGATGCAGTTATCTTTCTTTCTTGCCCAGTTCTCAGGAACCCTGAGAACAAGAGACTAAAAGTATATTGGGTGGAATAAGCCAAAAAAACTTGAGCACTACTGCTATAACCTGTCACATAAGAACATCATCATGCCAGCAGCTGTTGCTATGTTGTGCATTCAGGAATTTTGCTGAAACTTCTCCATGTGTCATCTCTGATACAGAAAATAACCAGGAGTGTGAACAATCTTACCAAAACTACCAATCATCACCAGAGAACTACAGAAACTCTGTTGATAGATTCTGTACAATGCCATGCCTGGCACTGAAAAAGATTCCTGCTTCCTAAAGAACTACTTTTGTAGTGGTTAGAAGCAAGTGATGGTCATATATTCCTTGAAACCTCTCTGGTGTACAAGCCATCACAAAAACAATTCAACTGAAACCTGGTAAATGCATCAAATTGCCACTGCTGCCCTCATCCCACCATATAAAGATGTTTTTCAACTGGCCCTGTAAATCTCAAACCCTGGTTTTACTCCTTCCATCAATGTTTAATTGTTATTATTTTATTTTATTTCTCACTAAATGCCTGATCTTTAAGACCTTCGAAAGCTGACTTTTATTCTGGTGTAAAGAACAGAGTTTATTTACCTTGAGCTACGGGGGAACTGACCAGATGTTCACAATTATACATTTTTTATCCTTTGCTCTGTCTCTACCAAAGGCTAGTCAGGCTTCTTTCCTTCCTAACATTCTGCTTGCCTCCAAGCCTGAGCAAGCACTCAAATGGGGAACATGCCACTTACCAGGTTACCCTGAAAATTGGATGACTACAGTGAGACACTTTTTCTGTTGGACTTCACTAGTCATTTCCTCTTGCTTGTCCAGCTTTCCCTTTAAAGGGAAAGCTCCTAAACATTTACTTACTCCTCCCTACCCTATAAAAGGAAAGCTTTATCTGTTTGATTATGAGATTCTTGCAGATTTCTGAGATTAGAACATTTTCCCTATTGCAGTAGTCTTTGTAATTAAAATTTCTCCTTTTCTAGTTTTCATTTGTTTTTATTTGAAACAAGTTAAGTCTACTTTTATTTTTTAATAAAAATAGGTGATGAGAGATAACCACTATAACAATGTGAAAACCACCCACTTTTTATATTATTCTGCTAAAACATAGCCTCTAAAGGAATAGAATTGACAAGCTGTGTAAAAAACAAAACTTTTCTGGAAGGACGTTTAGTGACTATCAGACACACTTTTCTTTGCCCAATAATTTAAAAATACTTTGTGCAGATGTAAATTTTCTTTATTAGAGGTTCCATTTCCCCACATTAAAACACAGATCTCATATTACCTTAGCACTAAGGCAAAGCCAACTTCAATCAACCTCAACCAAATGATACTTAAATCATGAAGAAACAACACTAAAAAGAAGTTGCTCAGAGAATCCTTTCTTGAAGTACTAGTTCTCTTTAGGGGCACCATTTGGTAGGGTCCCAAGAGTCACCAGAGTTTGCGGACTCTTCATGCTGCAGCATTAGCTCTGAGTGGTGGTGACAAAGGCATTTTGGCTGGAGAAACTCCTTTCTTGGTTTGGGCAGACAGTATTCTTAGCTTGTCAGCCTGCAGTAATTTATCCTGGAAATTTGGTGAACTAAAATCATATTTTAAATGTATTTTCTGCTAAAGTTAGGCAAAGGATACTTTGCAGATTGCAGCTAGGAATCCTGAGTCCACAGGGTTAAAGCTGTGTAGCGTATGGATGGGAAAAATAAGTAAGTTGATTTTCAAAACTATAGCTAAATAACATTTATTAAGAAGTAGTAAAATTTCAACGGCTGGGGCAGAATAAAAGTTTAAATTAAGAAAATAGAAAACCTCGAAAGAGGAAAGACCAAGGACACATCCCTATGCCAGTGGGTGAAGGAGGTAGGTATTGATCAGAAAAATGACAAAGTACTCTGAATTGAAAAATAAACAGTAGAAAATATTTCTTTTTTTTTAAAAAAAAAAAAAAGAGGTGAAAAAAAAAAAGACAGGCGCAAATAGGAAAGATTCGTGGTTGTGCTTCTGTAACGTCTAAGGTTCTTGCCTAGCCACGCCAAAGAATTGGTGTGGCAGCTGACCATGGCGAGTGATAGAGACACAGACCGAGAGAGAGAAAAAGCTGTAGGCTTTATTGAGCAGAGTTGAAGTACAAAGCTTCCACAGCATGGAAGGGGTCCCAAACGGGTAGCCACTGCTGGTTTTGGGTAATTGCCTTTTAAACTCTTTAAGGAGGGAAATATGTGTGGCAGGAAGTTGTTACCAGAGCGAGAAACAAAGGCAGTAAGTTATTTTGTGACATGTCTTAGATTTTAGGAAAACCGGAATTATAACTTAGGTTTTATCTACTTTATGACCTTGCAGTGGCATGGCAAAGGAGACAGGATCTCACAGGACTTTACAAAGTATGTTCACAAGGAATTGGAATGGGGAGTAGAGATAAGGTCCACTGGTCACAGAAAAACGGGCAGTTAACGTTCCCCAGTTTTGGGGAGGGGGAAGGAAGAGAGGGAGAGAGGATACAGGAAAACTTACAGCAAAATTTTTGCTGTTTATAGATTTCTTGGGGAAGAAAACACATTCACAAATCCTGGTGTTAGGACTATTTTAAGCATATATCTTCAATATTATTCATCCAGGACCAAAGCAGTCCTGATGCACAAAATGAGTGAGTTTCACAGCTTTCTGAGCCCGTACTCGACCCAGGAAGCCCAGCTGGCACCTCCTCTCAATTCTATGTCAGATTGGCCAGTAAGTTACTGCTTTCTGATTTCATTTAAATCTACTTTGCTAATAGTATTAGCAGCTCTATGTAGATAATTAAAAATATTTAAAATGGTTTGATTACTTTTGTTTGAAAAATAACCCAAAAAGGTTCAGAAAATATGATATAAATGAATATAACCCCATTAAAATGTGTTAGCTTATTATGTGAGTAAAGTCAGGACAGGTTGTGCCAGAGTGGGAGAAAAAAAACAATTATGTTTGCATTTTTAAATAAATGAAAACATAGAAAATGATTCTTAACTACTATATAATAGCCTAATGGCATTATTTTACTTTCTTTCTCCTTTTATCCTTTTTTCTTGACTTATTTTATGTACTAACATTTCCTTAGGCTATTTATGCTAATCTTAAGAGCACTAATTATTCAGAATTCTTATCTGACAAATGCACACTCACATACTATTTGTCTTTAGTCTTAGCAACATTTTAATGGTGATAAACAGAAATACTTCCAAGAGTAATTGACTGCCATTTTCGACTGCCATTTTCTAATTATGTTTTATTCTATTACTTGGCTGAAAAGATTTTTACTGATGCATAAAAAATATTCCAAAAGCAAGAGGCACGTTTTTAGTTATTTTATTGTCTTCTGTCAAAGGTTTGGTTTTTGTTTAAATCTACACACTTTGCTATTTTGGTGTCTAAACAAAGCCTTTGTTTCTAAGTAGTTGTAGATGTGATTAACACATTTTTTAAAATATTCACAGGGAAGGATTATGATAGTGAAGTTTTTTAAAAATTCTACTTTATTTTATAAACAGATTTTTATGATGCCCACACTTCATGGCAAGTATAAAGATTTTTTTAAAAGCTAAGTAATGTAAAATTAATTTCAGGTGTTTGAAAACATACCTTTCTTAAGATAATAAACAAAATAAATTAAAGAATGATTTATGTAATGATATAAGAATGTTTGGGACCATTAAAATTAAAATGACGTGTTTTTCATTTGTTTGTTTATGTATTTTTTCCCCATAAAACTAAGTTTAGTTGGATAAATTTTTCCTACTGATTGCTATTTTGAATTGAAACAAATTTTAAATAAGTGAATAGATTTTACAGATATTTATTTACTTGACGGTTAGTTACAAAAAATAATTTTCTTTCAAGTACATTATCCATTAATCACCAACATAAATGTACATTACTTAATCCATAGTCTTAATTCTAGACTAAGCATTAACATTAATATCAATGTTCTAGAGACCAGGTACATTATTTGTTGAAATTCCTAATTGAATATTAAGCTTGGCCTTTTAAAATTCATTTTTAAAAAACATACAAAACAGCATATTCAATACCAGCTGTATTCATGCAATGAGAATGTGATGGAGATCAAGAAAGCCAAAGGTTCTGCTTTCAAGGAGTTTATTTTTTCATGGGAGAAACCAACAAACATGTAAGAAAATAATAAAATTTTAAAGTGACTTCAGTTAGTGATAAATTCTATGAATTAAATTAAAAAATGATATGTAGCAGTAGGAAATAAATATTATTGCTTTGTAACTTGGTAAGTTATTCCTTAACAAGTAGCATCTGAGCTGAAACCTGAGTGAAGTTGTATTCCCAATTAGGTTAAAAGAAACCAAAGGCAAATTACCTTAAAAAAATAATGGGATCCTGGAGAAAAGGTCAACATATTTGCCTATTTTTGCTTTTGTTACCTGTGCTTTTAAAGTCTTACCCAAAAAATCTTTGCCCAGACCAACTTCCTGGAGTGTTTTTCCAACATTTTCTTCTCGTACCTACATGGTGTTGTTGCAGCTTTTTCACTCCCATAGTTCAGCAAGCAGGAGAGAGTGGTGCCCAGCTGCTTCACTTCTTCACTCCTATAGCTCAGCAAGTAGAAGGGCCTGACACCCATTGACTTCTTCACTCCTGTTGTTTGTCAAGTGGGAGGAAAGGTTAGAGCTCTTTTACTCCCACCACCCACAGCTCAGTGAGCAGAAGTGTTACAGCTCTTTTGCTCCCACAGTTTGGTGAATACTGGGTTCTTGTTCCACAACCAAAAGGACTAAGGTACGCAGACACTGAAGAGTGAGTAAGGCAGAGTAGAATATTATTGAGTGGCAGAAAGAAAGCTCTCAGCACAGAGAGGGGACCCAAAAGTGGGTTGTTGTCTCTGAGGCTGAGTGTGGGGTTTTTATGGGCTTAGAATGTGTTTGTCGAGTGGGAGGAAGGGTTAGAGCTCTTTTACTCCCACCACCCACAGCTCAGTGAGCAGAAGTGTTACAGCTCTTTTGCTCCCACAGTTTGGTGAATACTGGGTTCTTGTTCCACAACCAAAAGGACTAAGGTACGCAGACACTGAAGAGTGAGTAAGGCAGAGTAGAATATTATTGAGTGGCAGAAAGAAAGCTCTCAGCACAGAGAGGGGACCCAAAAGTGGGTTGTTGTCTCTGAGGCTGAGTGTGGGGTTTTTATGGGCTTAGAATGTGAGAATGTGTGCTGATTGGTCCATTGATGGTCTTGGAAAAAGCACTATTTGATTAGTTGAAAGGCATCATTCAGAAGGAACCAATTGAGAGAGAGAGTGGGTAAGATGGAAGATGGAAGTTCTCACTCTGGTCGTGGACTCTATCTGGAACTGGCAGCTCAGTTTTCAAACTTTGTATTGTCCTTGGCTTGAAGGTTGGGTTTTGCTAGGGACCCAACCCTGTCTGCCCAGGAATTTGTCTGTCTCCTGCTGCTATCAGTGTCAGGTCTTACATTAAGTTTTAATCCCTTTTGAGTTGATTTTTGCATATGGTAAAAAATAAATACGTAGTTTTATTCTTCTGCATATGGATATCCAGTTTTCCCAGCACCATTTATTAAAGATACTGTCTTTTCCCCAATATATGTTCTCAGCACCTTTGTCAAAAGTGAGTTGGCTGTAAATACATACATTTATTCCTTAGTTTTTGCTGGGGAAGGCATCAGAGCCCGATGGTGGGGAGTGGTTGGCTTGCAGGTAGTAAAAGAATTTACCAACAACAGTAAGGTTTGAAAAAGAAAGTTTTGTTAGATAGAAAGGACACTGCAGCAGAGTGCAGCAGGGTGCTTCAGCAAGAGGGGACTGAGCATGCTACAGTGGATTTTTCTTAGGTGTATTTATGGATCTGAAAGTAAGGAACTTAAGGGTAACTTGGACCATAAAAGTCACATAGGTCATGATAAATGATTGCATTTGTAGACATTTTGGTGCCTTGGTGACAGCAAGGGTTGCACAATGAGTTTTGACAAGTATGCATTCTGGAGATGTGTACAAATTCCAGTTACTTATACATTTTTAGGAAAGAAGCCTAGGACCAGATGCCAGCTTTAGATAATAGGGAAGTCAGATTACTTCTGAATTCCTCAGATAAGGAGTTTTGCCTGTGGATGGTCTGCTTGATGGCCACCAGGTGATGTTGGCTCTCCTTATTTCTCTATCCTGTTCCATTGGTCTATGTGTTACCGGGGAAAGCAGATGTCCCAGTTCTTATCTAACTTTGGATGAAAGATTTCAACCAAGGGGACAGTACAAAGATAAATAATTGTATTGAAAAAGAATATAGTGTAAAGAGCTTATTGTAGGAAAAATAGGTGCGTTTCAAGGGAGGAGTGGGCTGATCCAGCGAGAAAACCATACTGAGGGTCCTGTGCAGGGAGTTTTTATCATGTTGGACTTCAAATTTCCTCCTCTATCTCACATCTCTGCTGCTTTCCTTTGTTTAGTTTTCCTGCACCTGCCTAGTGCCCTCCCCCATGCTTCTGGGACCCTCTGTTACTATTTTGTTGGTGCACAAGTGTGGGCCCGTGTTGGATAAAAATCCTACATAGTGGCTGCATTGCTCATTACTGCCAACCCAGGAAGGTCATATAGCAGTTAAATATGTACTTACTATGCCTATGTATCTCCTTGGAACTTTTGTCTCTGTCCTAATTTGTACTTAGGTGCCAGGATTTTTTCCTTTTTTTTTTTTTTTTTTTTTTTTTAGGACTTTCTTGTTTTCCCTCTTATCAGCATTTACCTAGCTATATTTTCACAGGTTAACTGCAGAGTGAATGATTACTGGGCATCTTAATGGATGTCCTTTCTACCTAGCTATTTCATCAACTCTCTGCTTATATCTAGCATGCCTATGTAGGTGGTCCCTGTTGTGTGAGATTTTCCAGACCTCCCTTTTCTTAGGGGTTCCCCCTCCTGCTTATGTCTGGCTACCTGCCTACTCTAACATATGTGTCTGTTTTTGTGCCAGTACTATGTAATTTTGATTAGAATAGCTTCATTATATAATTTGAATCAGGTGATAAGATGCCTGCAGCATTGTTTTATTGTTGTTGTTGTTTTTTGCTCAGGATGACTTTAGGTATTTAGGTTTTTTAATGGTGTTATCAAGCTTTAGAATTGTTTTATCAATGTCATTTGGTATTTTGGTTGGGATTGCATTGAATCTGGAAATTGATTTGGGTAATGTGGACATTAAAAATATTAATTATTTCAATGCATGAACAGGGGATATATTTCCATTTTTGTGTTCTCTTCAATTTCTTTTATCAATGTTTTATAGTTTTACTTGAACACAAATTTTACTTCTTTAAAATACTTAGCTATTTTTTTTTCTGGCTATTGTAAATGGAAATGCTATCTTCATTTTTTTTAGGTTGAACGCTGTTAGCATATAGAAATATCACTTAATTTTTGTATGTTGATTTTATAACTTGCAATTTTGGTGAATCCATTTATCAGTTCTAACAGTTTTGTGGTGGAGTCTTTAGGTTTTTAAAATATAAGATTATGTTGTCTGCAAATAAGTATAATTTGACTTTATCTTCCAATTTGAATGCTGTTTATTTCTTTCTCCTACCGAATTGCTCTGGCTAGGACCTAAAGAACTATGTACAGTACAAATGGTGAAAATGGCATCCTTGTCTTGTTCTAGATCTTAGTGGAATGGCTTTCACTTATTCCCTGTTCAGTATGATATTATCTGTTTGACATATATGGCCTTTATCACGTTGTAGCATGTTCCTTTGATACCCAGTTCAGTGAGAGTTTTTATCATGAGTAAATGGTGAATTTTATCAAATGTTTTTTTAACATCTATTGAAATGATCATATGGTTTTTGCTCTTGATTCATTTGAGGTGATGTATCAGGTTTATTGATTTGTGTATGTTTCACCATTCTTGCATCTCTGAGATGAATTCCACTTGATCATGGTGAACAATGGTTTTAATATGGTATTGTATTTGGTTTGTTGGTATTTTGTTGAAGATTTTTTTCATTAAACTTCATCAGTGATATTGACATGTAGTTTTGTTTTACTATGGAGTAAAATAACTTTTAGATTTTCCTTCTTTTCAAATTATGAAAATAGTTTAACTGGTATTAGCTCTTTTTTAAATGCACAGACAACAAAAGCAGAAATAGAAAAATGTGATTATATCAAGCTAAAAAGCTTCCACACAACAAAAAATTTTAAAAAAATAACAAAGAGACAACCTACAAAATGGGAGAAAATATTTGTGAAATGTCTATCGGATAAGGCATTAATAATAAGAATATATAAGAAACTTAAACATCTCAGTAGCAAAACCAAACAAAAATAACAAATAATACAATTAAAAAATGGGCAAAATACCTAAATTGACATATGCCATAAGAAGACATACAAATGGTCAACAACTATATTTTTAAAAGCTCAACATCACTAATTATCAGACAAATGCAAATTAAAGCTACAATGAGATATCACCACCACAGTTAAAATGGCTATTATCAAAAATACAAAAAAATAACAAATGATGGCAAGGATGTAGAGAAAGGAAAATACTCTAACACTGTTGGTAGAAATGTAAAGTAGTAAGGCACTATGGAAGTGAGTATAAAGGTTCCTCAGAAAAACTAAAAATAGAACTACAATATGATCCAACAATTCCACTGCTGGTATATATCCAAAAAAAAAGAAGGAAATCAGTATATCAAAGAGATATCTGCAATCCTATGTCTATTGCAGCACTATTCACAATAGCCAAAATAATGTAATTAATGTGTGTCTATTAGTGGGTTAATGGGTAAAGAAAATGTGGAATATTATGTAGCCATAAAGAGAATGAAGTCCTGTCAATTTCAGCAACATCGGTGAAACTGGATATGATTAAATAACCCAGGCATGAAAAGAAAACAATACATGTTTTCCCTCATGTATGGGAGCTAAAAACATGTATTTTGTGACGTTAGAGTATAGAATGTTGATTACCAGAGGCTGGGAAGGGTAAACAGAAAGAGGGAATGAAGACAGGTTGGTTAACAGGTACAAAAATCAGTTAGAAGGAATAAGTTCTAGTATTTGATAATGCAGTAGGAAGACTGTAGTTCACAATAATTTATTATATATTTCAAAATAGATAGAAAAGAAGAATTGCAGTGCTCCCAACACAAAAGATAAATGTTTGAGACAATGGATATCCTAATTATCCTGATTTGATCATGGCACATTATATATATATATATCAAAATATCACATGCACCTCCCAAAATGTAGAACTATATCAATTAAAAAATAACAACACCTCAAAAAGATTAATGAGATAAAGAAACCCAAAATCTGTTTTTTACTTTTTTCTTTTGGGAAATTGATAACTGAGGAGGCATAAAGCTCAGAAGCCAAGTAGAAAGAAAAAAAGACCAGAGACTGTGGCAGTCTCACTGCCTATGGGAGATAGAATTTGGGTTTCAAAGTTACCAAGGCATCCATGTCTTAAGAACATAGTACCACCTTTTTAACCACAGGGAATATGTTTCAAGACCCTCAGTGGATGCCTAAAGCTGCAGACAGTGCCAAAGCCCATAAGTACTATGTTGTTTTTTTTTTTGTACATACCAATGATAAAGTGCAGTGTATTAATTAGACATAGTAAGATATTAACAGGAATAACTAACACAATAGAACATTTATAAAAATATGCCAAAGGCACTACTCATCTGTCTTGGGGGCCATTGTTAAGTAAAATAAGTGTTACTCAAACACAAGCACTGCAATACTGAGACAGTTGATGTGATAACCAAGACAGCTACTAAGTTACTAATGGGTAGGTAGTGTAGACAACAGGGATATACCAGACAAAGGAATGATTAACATCCTGAGCAGAACTAAGTCCTGCAGCTGAGATTTCATTAGACTACTCAGAACGGTGCACAATTTAAAACATGATTTTTTTCTGGAATTTTTAAATGTAGTATCTTTGTACTACGGTTGACTTTTAACTGAAACCATATTAAGCAAAACTGGGGATAGGAGTTATAAAAGAAAATGTGGAATAGATATACAATGAAATATTATGCAGCCTTTAAAAGAATAAATCTGTCACATGCAAAAACATGGATGAGCCAGGAGGGTACAATGCTAATTGAAATAAGCCAATCCCAGAAAGACATATAAATACTAATGATTCCACATGTGAGACATCTAAAATATCAGGTTGGTGCAATAGTCAAACTCAGAGTAGAATGGTTGTTGCCAAAGACTAGGGAGAGGAGAGATGGGGAGTTACTGTTCAATGGGAATGAAGTTTCAGTAAAGCAAGATGAATCTTATAGAGATCTGCTGACCATATTGTACCCATAGTTTAAAATACTGTACTGTACTTTCAAAGTTTTAAGAGGTTATATCTCATGTTAACTGTTCTTACAGCAATAATTTTTAAAAAAGAAAAAGAAAAGAGAGATGGACAGTCTTTGGAGACTTTTTTTTTTTTCGAGACAGAGTCTCATTTGTTTCATTTTTTGAGGCAAAGCCTTACTCTGTCACCCAGGCTGGAGTGTAGTGGCTCAATCTCCGCTCACTGTGGCTTCGACCTCCTAAGTCCAAGCAATCTTCCTGCCTCAAAATGATGAAAGAAAATGATGAATTCAGGGTTCTGTCTCCCAGCTTCAGAAGCAGATACTGAGCCTCAAATCTGCTAAGATTGCCCTGAGTGAGAGTCTTATCTCCTGTAGAGAAAGAACTAGAATTGTAGAAAATCAGACACAAGCTATTATCATGTGAGTGGCTGACCTGCAATGAAAGGTGCATGCACAGCCTTGCCAGGTGTCTACTGTTAAAGTGAGGGCATTGATTGGAAAAGAATGGGACCCTGAAACTTGGAATGGGGATGTGTGGGAGGACCCTTATGAAGCTGGGGACACTGAGTTTATAAACTCTAATGAACTTTTTTTGCCGGAAGGAACAGCTTCCCCATCCCAAGTAGTGGCAGCATCCCCTCCCTGACCCATGCTTCCATCAGCCTTTTCCACCTTTGTCTAAGGAGATAAACACGGCACTGTTTGAGGCAACAGCGATGCCCCCCAACTCTGAGGCACTTACCAGGCAAAATAATGTTGACTCTCCTCAAGAGCCACCCCCAACACCTCTGTTTGCTTCTAGACTTATAACTAGACTAAAGTCCCGGTGGGCCCCTTAGAGGTGAAGTTGAGAGTGTGACCAATGAAGAGGTATGCTACACTCAAAAAGAAGTGCTTGAGTTCTCTAACTTATATAAATAGAAATCTGGAAAAGAGCCGTGGGAATGGATATTAAGGGTATGGGATAATGATTAAAGGAACATTGAGTTGGATCAGGCTGAATTTATTGATTTGGGCCCACTAAGTAGGGACTCTTCATTTAATGTTGCAGATCAAGGAGTTAAAAAAGGTTCTAATAGTTTATTTGCTTGGTTAGCTGAAATATGGATTAGAAGATGGCCCACTGTGAGTGAGCTAAGAATGCCTGCTCTCCCTTGGTTTAATGTAGAGGAAGGGTTCCAAAGGCTTAGGGAGATTGGGAAGATGGAGTGGATTAGTCATTTTAGATCTACTCATCCCAGCTGGGAGGATCCAGAAGCTATTCCCCTGACCAATGCCTTACAAAATAGATCTGTGACAGCAGAACCTGCATCTCTGAATAGCCCTGTAGTTGCTGTTCTCTGTACGTCAGATCTAACAGTGGGAACTGCAGTCACTCAACTACAAAATTTAAATAGAATGGGAATGATTGGATCCTGAGGTGGCAGGGGCCAAGTGGTGGCACTCAACCATCAAAGGCAAGGTGGACGTAGCTACCATAATGGGCAGCAGAGACAAGGCAGCAATCAGAATAGTCTGACTCATGTAGTGCTCTGGCATGGGCTAATTAATCACGGTGTTCCTAGAAGTAAAATTGATAAGAAGCCTACTGCATTCCTACTTAATTTATACAAGGAGAAAACTTCTAGGTCGAATGACAAAAGGCTAATTTGAATTATAAAAACAGAGAATCACTGTCCCTCAATCAATTTGCAGACTTGAGCCAGTTTACAGACCCAGAACCCCTTGAATAAAGAAGAGGCCAAATCCTATTGAGAAAGGACCCCACTACATTACTGACAATTTATGCAGTGAAACTTTCTCTAATCATTCCCCCAAAGAGACCTCTGGCCTTTTACCAGGGTTACTGTGCACTGTGCCCACCAACGGGTGACCTCAGGAGAGGAGGATTTTAATAGTCAAGTGGATAGGATGACCCGTTCTGTGGATACCACTCAGCCTCTTTCCCCAGCCACCCCTGTCATTGCCCAATGTGCCCATGAACAAAGTGGGGGTGGCAGGGATGGAGATTATGTGTGGGCTCAGCAACATGAACTTCCATTCGCCAAGGCTGACCTGGTTACAGTCACTGCTGAGTGCCCAATTTGCCAGCAGCAGAGACCAACACTGAGCCCTCAATATGGCACCATTCCCCAGGGTGATCAGCCAGCTACCTGGTGGCAGATTGACTATATTGGACCTCTTCCACCATGGAAAGGGCAGAGGTTTGTCCTCGCTGGAATAGACACTTGGTAAGGGTGAAATCTAACTATTTAAACATAATTTTTACAAATTTATTAATGCACCTGCCTTCTTCACCCTCAAACTTGTCCCTTTAACCTTGTGTTCTAAAGAATATATTTGAGTTTTTCAATTAACTTTGAATTATTAGAAATAAGTTTAAAAATATCTTTACACAGCATTCCGGTGATAACTTTAACATATAAATCAGGAGATGTTATCCTCTGCTCAACATGCTCAAATGGCCTCTCACATTGCTCAGCGTAAAACCTAAAGTTCTAAGATGGCCCAGCCCCCAACTTCTGTGAGCACCCTTCCTTTGTCCTCTTTGGTCTCATCTTCATCTAATCATTTCCTTACTCCCTTACCTTCAAGCATATCAGCCTAGTTATACTTCACAAACTTTGCAACTGTCTCTTGCAAATATAGTTCCTTCTGCTGGAAAGCTTATTCCCCCAGAAAACTAGTTGCCTGGTTTACTTGCCTTTTTCCAGTTTTGCTCAACTGTTACCATCTCAATGAGGCCATCTCCGATTATACTAATCAATGCCATCACATAACACTCTCTATTTATTTCTCTGCTTCACCTCATAGTTTTCATTTTATCCTACATATATTGCTTATTTACTTCTATGTTGCCCATATCCATGCAGGTGTCAAAAATGAAATTAAGTGAGGAACAATTTAAAAGTTCATTGTCCAAAGAAAGACCGCTTTGTTAACTGGGAGACCTCAAACTGAACATGGTAAGAAGATCCACTCACAGCAGTGACAGCACAGTTACTAAAGCATAAAGAAGGAAATATTTTGACCTTTTTCATGATTGGCTGTTATATAGTAACATTCTTTTTAAGTCAAGCAGAGCTGTTTAAGCTGATTTGTCTATGGTTGATTGGTTTAATTTGACTAAATCATGCTGGCAGAAATGTAACACTTACATTTTGTGTTTTATTATGATTAGAGATAGCATTTCAAGGAAATCAGGATGACATGTTTTGGGTATGTGGCAATGTGTAGCTGGTATTGGGGTGTATCTTAACTGTAGCCTCCATTTTTATTTTTCTTTAACAAATATAATCTTTTGAAATTAGAAAATTCTGGCCAGGCACAGTGACTCATGCCTGTAATCCCAGCACTTTGGGAGGCTGAGGCAGGCGGATCACCTGAGGTCAAGAGTTTGAGACCAGCCTGGCCAACATGGTGAAACCCCATCTCTATTAAAAATACAAAAAATTAGCCGGGCGTGCTGGTGGGTGCCTATAATCCCAGCTATTCCAGAGGCTGAGGCAGGAGAATCGCTTGAACCCGGGAGGCCACGGTTGCAGTGAGCCGAGATCATGCCACTGCACTCTAGCCTGGACAACAAGAGTGAAATTCTGTCTCAGAAAAGAAAGAAAGAAAGAAATTGGAAATATCTGTCTTATTTATGCACTGTTGTGTTTTACCAATGAGAAGAGGGCTGGAGTTCAGGGACAGTCAATAAATATTGACAAGTGTATGACTGATTTCAGGTCGTGTTGAGATACACTAAAATTTGCAATATGAATTTTTAACAATTGCTTAATAACTTTATTTAAATACCCTGGACATGTGGTTCACGCTTGTACTTTCAGCACCTTGGGAGGTGGAGGTGGGAGAATCTCTTGAGCCCAGGAGTTACAAGCTGCAGTGAGCTTTGATCATGTCACTGTGCTCCAGCCAGGGTGACAGAGTGAGACCTTCTCAAACAAACAAACAAACAAACAAAAACTTTATGAAAATATAACATGCTAAAGTTTTTTCAGTGCTGTTGTTTTGGTTTTCTTGTTAAAAGGGGTGAGGTTTTAAAACAATACAAAATCTATGTGAGTCTTAGGATGACAATTTGCTAACTCTAATGTAGACAGTCTAAAATTCCATTTAAAGTTCAATTAGAAAAACAATTCTCAGAAACGAAGTCCAAAAGAAGTCATAAATTGAATAAATATCTGAGAAGTTAATAAGTTAATAAAATAAGTATCACCAAAATAAGCCCCAGACTTTTATGTAACAAGGTAAATTTGATCAAATTTTCAGGAAGAGTTAAGTCTAATGTCATTTAATTCATTTGAGGTAATGTAGTGATATATAATTACATAAAATTCAGAAATATATTTATTGAAACCTTAAACAATTAACAACCATACTAAAAAAAACTACAGAATTCCATTATGAATACATATCTACTAAAATATGACAACTAATATATAATACACTAAAAAAATTATTCCAAGGATATCGTTTCAGAATATTAATAAAATTAAATAAATTACTATGTAAGAGAAAGACTAGAAAGTTTTTTCAAAGATAAAAAAGATATTGAATATAGTTTAACGTTGATTATTACTAAGAATAATATTAGATTGGTGCAAAAGTAAGTGTGATTTACACCATTAATTTTTATTTATTTTTTTTATTTGAGACAGAGTCTCACTCTGTTGCCTAGGCTGGAGTGCAATGGCTCAATCTCTGCTCACTGCAACCTCTGCCTCCCGGGTTCAAGCAATTCTCATGCCTCAGCCTCTCGAGTAGCTGGGATTACAGGCACCTGTCATTAAGCCCGGCTAATTTTCATATTTTTGTAGAGATGGGCTTTCACCATGTTGGCCAGGCTGGTCACGAACTCCTGACCTCAAGTGATCTGCCTGCCTCGGCCTCCCAAAGTGCTGGGATTACAGGCGTGAGCCACCGTGCCTGGCCCTACACCATTACTTTTAATGGCAAAAACCACCATTACTTTTGCACCAACCTAATACCAATTATAAAGTAGAAATGAATTAATGCCTCTATATCATGATTATCAATTTGGTTTACTTGGTTGCAAAATTTATAATCTACATTTGACCAAGTTAAGTAAAAAATAAATATGTTGAAACTAAACAGTATTTGATAATACTGGAGAGAATAGAGATCAATCCTTGGAAGCAAAACAAGAAACATTTTAGGAATTAAGGCAACTTGGGGCAGTGTAGTCCACAAGGACATCTTCTACTGCATTCACTTTATTGTATCACGCCATTTGAGATCAGCATCTTAAGAAAGATGAGGTCATTAGTTTAGCTTCAGTCATGAATATCTCACTTGGAGAGAGTAAAGCAGAGCATCTTTATTATAATCTTACTAGTACTTCAAACTTTGGTGAAAAGGTAGTTTCTCAAATTGAAATTTGTATGTCCTGAAAAGATTAAAAAAAATACTACAAACTTTCTATAGTCTATGTCAATTCATTGTAATATGTACACACACACACACACACACACACACACACGCACACCACTTTCTAACCAATTTGGACAAATTCTTAAATTTTCCTTCCTAAGTAGAATATCCCATAAAAGCCCCAAATATATTTTTAAAAATTTCCAAAATGCTTTAATACCATCTCCAACATCAGCTAGGTCATCATTTCAGTTTCATGTTTCAGATATCTGGCTCTGATGACCATTTTGGCTCTAGTTTGGTATTTTCTCTGCAATCATCCTTTCTAAATCTTGACATACACTATAATTTTGATTACCATTATCACATTTTATACATAAGAGCAAGGGGATAAAATAATCAATAGAAAGAAATTATTTGAAATAGGTAAATTTATATGGCACAAAAAATAAAATATGGTTTAATACCTCAATTTATTTCTGTAACTAATCATAAGGGTTTTATTGACATTTATGACTTTTCTTTCCCTACCACCCATTCTACACATTCTTTGCTATCAGCGAGTTGCCTAATAGTGTGACTTAAATCTTATAATTAAGGAACAGAGACTTTTGGTTTTGCTTTGGTTTTCTGAGGCCTATATGGAGGTTTACAAGGATTTTATTATTTTAAACCATATGGACAAGTACAAGAGGTACTACAGAGAATCCCCAGGGTTCTATACATACTCCTGGTTTCCACTGCACCTTTGTCCAGCGGTCACCTTATTTTCCCTCAACGGTCAAGATCAATTACCCCAGTAATAAAGTGAACTATTTTTGTTAGTTTGTTCAGTTGCACAAGGAACCCCAGATAAACCCCAGCTTGTGATCCAGTGGTGACAGCTAAACCTTCAATTCAGCAGAACCCAGAATCACCAGGAAGAGAACATACCCTCCCGCAAAACATTCAGTTTATTATGGAAAATCGAATCTCAAATTCCACCCATTCACTTTCAAATTAGTTGCTACAAGTGACTCATGAACAATCCTGTTTAAAAATTCTCAGACCTATCAGGTCTATTTACTTATAATGCTTTTGAACACAATACCTCAAGATTTATGCTGTTTCATTACCATGTTATAATTTGGTTAAGTTATAACAAGGGAATAGAGTAGAGGCAAGTGTTATGGTTTAGTCTGCGTAACTTAATGAGAGTATTTGCTCCTTTAATGCATGCATATTATTATGCCTCATATAAGAAAAAAATATATCTAATTGAACCTTTTCTTTGTAATGGTTTTGGATATAGAAGATGAAGTCAGTTCTGTGTATTGCTCTGAGGCAACAGAGTAAGCCTGCCCCTAATGTTTATAATAAGAAGTAAATAGAATTAGACTCTGTCACTGTGATAATTTTGATTATTTCAGATAGAGGAGATTCTACTGTATGAGAAGCAAGGTCCATATAACTACCATTTATGTCTTTTTTCCTTTTAAAAACAGAGGGAATCAAATCATGAGAGGGGTTTCACAAAGTCTCTTAAGAGTAGGGTTTTACTAGGAAAGAAAATTTTAAAAAAATAATATTTTCTCAAAACATAATAATAAATAATATTTTCTGAATTATATTCAATATTCTATTGGATGTCACCCAAAAAAGCCTGCTTCTCATGCTGCTGTGAAGAGATATCCAAGATGGGGTGATTTATCAAGAAAAG